>NC_000014.9:73096561-73248076 GCF_000001405.40 Homo sapiens
TGAATTTTCAACTGTTTAAAAGAGTCGTTACTATTTGTGTACCTATTGAGCAAAACAGTCTGAAAACTTGTGAATGGTTTGCAGATGTGTCGTATAGTGTGCTAGTCCTGAAATTTAGGGACCAGAATTTTTTAGCTATTAAGAAAAAGAAAATGAAAATGAAGTAGTATCTCAGGAATAGTTAAATAAAAAAATGAAGCTTTTCTGATGTTAAGAACAAAACCAATTCTGTGTTTAATAGGACTACAGAGATGTTTTTGAGAAAACATGTATGTTTATTAACTCTTGTTGTAGAGTGATTTTGATTTTCTTGCTTGATTTTTCTTTCCCCTGAATTTGCTGTTTTGTTTAAGAATGCAAGGCCAGAAACTGTCACTAATGACGATGAAGAAGCCTTGGATGAAGAAACAAAGAGGAGAGATCAGATGATTAAAGGGGCTATTGAAGTTTTAATTCGTGAATACTCCAGTGAGCTAAATGCCCCCTCACAGGAATCTGATTCTCACCCCAGGAAGAAGAAGAAGGAAAAGAAGGAGGACGTATGTGTTCTGACAACAACATATCATTTCTACCGTTTGTTTTTTATGATATCACTCTTATACTTTGATTACATGTCAGTTTTCTTTTTTCTTTTCTTTTTTTTTTTTTTTTTTTTTTGAGATGGAGGCTCACTTTGTCTCCCAGGCTGGAATGCAGTGGTGCAATCTCAGTTCACTGTAACCTCCGCCTCCGGGGTTCGAGCGATTCTACTGCCTCAGCCTCCTGAGTAGCTGGGACTACAGGCATCCGCCACCATGCCCGGCTAATTTTTTGGTTTTTAGTAGAGACGGGGTTTCACCGTGTTAGCCAGGATGGTCTCAATCTCGTGACCTCGTGGTCGACCCGCCTCGGCCTCCCACAGTGCTGGGATTACAGGCGTGAGCCACCGTGCCCGGCCACATTTTAAACTTTTTTACAGAGACAAGGTCTCACTATGTTTTCTAGGCTGGTCTCCAACTCCTGGGTTCAGGTTATCCTCCTGCCTCCGCTTCCTAAAGTGCCAGGATTACAGTCATGAGCCACTGCGCCCGGCCCCTATTTTACTTTGTTTGCCTATGGTTGTTCTGTCTCTGTTCTAAGCAAGAAACCAGATCTGATTCACTGAAGATTTCCACCCACTCTTAATTTTTAGCTGCCTTTCCTTAAGAAACTATGTCACATTCCCCTCCCTGAACAATAATGGTATTGAATAATCAAACTGGAGGATTCTGAAAGAGCAGTACAACTTGAAACATTCCTCCTCAGTGAATTGATTGCTACCTCTTTGTGGCCCTAAGCTAATTGTCCAGGTTGAAAGAAAAGGTTTAGTTTTCTCATACTTATTTCCTTTGGATAAACTTAGATAAATTATAGGAAGTGTTCTTTTAAAAATACTGGAAGAAGCCAGAAGTGGTGGCTGACACATGTAGTCCCAGCAACTTGGGAGGCTGAGGGGAGAATTACTTGAGCCCATGAACTTGAGTCTAGCCTGGGCCACAGAGCGAGACCCTTCTATAAAGTAAGAAAAAAAATCCCACAAATATTGGAAGTGTTTTATTTATGTTTTTGAGACAGTATCTTGCTCTGTCACACAGACTGGAGGATGGTGGCGCAATTACGGCTCACTGCAGCCTTGAATACCCATCCTAAAGTGATCCTCATGTGTTAGCCTCCTGAGAAGCTGAGACTATAGGCATGTGCTACCATACCCAGCTAATTTTTGTATTTTTTGTAGAGACAGGGTTTCACCATGTTGCCCAAGCTGGTGTTGAACTCCTGAGCTCAAATGATCTGCCTGCCTCAGCCTTCCAAAGTGCTGGGACTACAAGTGTGAATCACTCATAGCTGGCTCAACGTGTTTTATATGCATGCATTATGTAATAAAAAAGTACTACGTGGTATATATATTATGATTAGTTATGAATGGATGGTTACATTTTATATTATTTTAAATTTCAGTGCCTTTTTAGGCCATATTCAGTTTTCTTTGTGGCCAGATACATACATTTTTATTATTTGGTATGTGTTTCCTCGTTTGGTCATAGAACTTTTCTTTTTTGTTCCCGCCCCTACCCCCACCCAAGACGGAGTCTCACTCACTTGCCCAGGCTGGAGTGCAGCAGCTGCGATCTCAGCTCACTGCAAGCTCTGCCTCCCGGGTTCAAGCGATTCTCCTGCCTCAGCCTCCTGAGTAGCTGGGACTACACGTGCCTGCTGCCACGCCCAGCTACTTTTTTGTATTTTTAATAGAGATGGGTTTCACTGTGTTAGCCAGGATGGTCTCGATCTGCTGACCTCGTGATCCGCGTGAGCCACCGTGCCCGACCCATAACTTTTCTAAGGAGGTGTATTCTGTTAGGAATGGTAATTGGTAGGGTCAGTAAGGTACAGGGTAATTGAGGCCTGTAGAATTCATTCTTCCTCTTTCTTCATTAGTGGGAAAGGAGAAAAATAACATATTTGTTTGATGTGGATTGGGAGGAGATAATAAATTCTTCCTCTGTGGCAGGAGTTATGGGTAAATATTGTTGGTATGATTAGAAAGCCCTGCTACTATGAGAGCACCTTCTATATTTCCATTTCTTGGGGGTGTTGGAGTATCCAGAGAGGAGGGTAGTGTGTGATCAGTTATTGTAAAAAGAGTGAAATCACTTCTATTCCCAAGTAATTTGAAATCAAGAAAGCATCACAGAAGTGTACTGTATTGTTCACGTCATAAATGTATAGGGCATTGCTTTGCAGATTAGTATGAGCTCTGTTTTTCTTTTTTAAAAAAGATTCTTGGTGGATTTTTTCACAGATTTTCCGCAGATTTCCAGTGGCCCCACTGATCCCTTATCCACTCATCACTAAGGTTAGTTTAAATTGTAGGCTTTGACAATACCTGTGTTTACTGCTGATTGTTGATTTGTCATTCTTGTCTATCTGATTTTTCACTATTTAACTTTAGATTGTTAGATTTGTTATTGTGGATATTCTGTTTACTTATTTACTCTTTGAGACCTATACAGAATATCTAACCTTTAACTGTTTATATTGAAGTAGGGTGTTCTTTATTCATTCCCTCCTGTGCCCGTTTTCTTTTAGGAGGATATAAATGCTATAGAAATGGAAGAAGACAAAAGAGACCTGATATCTCGAGAGATCAGCAAATTCAGAGACACACATAAGGTAGTATTCTTGTCTTTTCACTTGATACCAATCTAGACTTTTTACAGAATCCAAAGCAAAGAGACAAAAAAAATCAACCTTAAATTAGAATATAATTTTAAATGTTTTTTATAGGTTTAATTGATATTTAGATAGAAAAAAGAAACAGAAGACCAATACCATATTAAAGTGGTCCTTGACATGTTGTGCTTAGTTTTTTCAGTTACTGACTATTCTGCAGTCATCTCACTTTAATATGAATAGAAGCTAATTTTATTTTTAGATTTCAACATAAACATCAAGGTCAGACTTAAATTAGATTCAGGGGGCAGCAGGATAACATACACTGTAGTGTATTTCTGGGGGCAGTTATTTAACTTGATCTTAGGAATACCTTTTCTTTAGAGCTGAGATTAAAATTTACATTTTATATTTGTATAGATTTAAGTTGAGTGGGGGAGATTTTAAACAGTAGGTCAGTGGTTACCAGACTTACCAAATTTTAGATGCATGGAAGAACTGTAAATTCCCATAAAGCTAATCTATTCATTGACCCCCACCATTATGATAGAGATCATATGGTGACTAATGCAAGATGAAACTCTCAGCTTGGAAAGTAACAAGGAATAGGATGTAAGTATGAGCTTCTGTTTTTTATTATATTTATGGATGCCCCCTCAGAAAAATATGCAAAGGGGTAACTGGCTTGGAAATGGGTATTTATGCATAGTAAATCCCACTCACGAGTTTTGCCTATTTGAAGCTTCTCTCAATGACAGTGCATCTGTGAATGTTCGCTGGTGTTGAAAATGATGCTTTTGAACGGTGCAATGCAAACACTGCATGAAATGTATTTTGATGGTCGAGATAATAAGGTGTTGCTGGTTCTTACTGATAGACTGAGAGATCTTTAACTCAGTGAAATGTTAAATGTTCATTTTCTCTTTTATTCTTACTTTTTCCCATTGCTTTCAAAATCTGCAGTTCACAAATAATGCCAATGAATCAGTGCTGCTGAACACTTACTATCCAGATGCCCAGCCCTTGCTCACAAACACAATGCTTTTTCAAGAATTAAATGTGTCTAAGAGCACAAACATAATTCTCCCAAAATTAATTTTGAGAGTTGAAAAGGTGGTCTATGGGAAATCATTTTAGATGAATAATTTTGGTTAGGTATAATACTGAAATTCAGGACCGAGTAAGCTTAAAAATGGTATATGGTTGTGTGTGTGGTTTACCCCCTTTTTGTTTTTATTTATTTGTTAAACCCTGTCATGTTATTGGTAAATTATGAGGAAATCATGTTTTAAGAAAAATTCAAAAATATATTTGCTTTAAAGTTTGGGAATCTGTTAGGCATTTTACTGCCTTAGTATTATTTCACTGGAGGGAATGTTTTGAATTTTCAGAATGTCTTTTCAAAATAAAAAGAAATCAAAATGAAAAACCAAAACAGTTGTTTTTTATTGGGTGGTTTGGCTAAAAGGGTTGTTTGAAACTCCAGTAACAAAAAATGAGCTCAGTGAACCTTTGCATGTTTTGGTATGAGTTTATTAAATAACCACAGACTGTCAGGGTATCAGCGTGGCAGGGGGCGTCCATTTACAGCACGGATGAGTCTGAAGAGAGAATAAGGTAAGATTTATGATTTTTTAATCTGTCCTTTCCTCTTCATGACTTTCTTACATAATTTTAGACTCACCTCATTTCCCTTCTCCAGTCTTTCTTTAAAAATATACATGTATGTTTACATGTATACCTGTATTTGTATACATGTGTGTATATATATATATATATATATCTCATATATAAACTTCAGGAAACATTTAGTATGGACTAGATTCACTCACTTTTTCATTTACTTAGAACCAAACTTTTGAAATGAGTTCTGAAACAAATGGTTATTTATATAACTGAATATAAGGAGCACAGTGAAATAAGCAAGAATTAAAAATTGAGGAATTCTACAGGAAAAATTAGTATTGGAACAGCTAAAATATTCTGTAAGTATCTATTTCAGAAATAAACAAATTTCTTTATAAGTGTATGCCATTGAGGTAAGTTTTATATAGTCTAGCCTCATTTTACAATATAAATTTTTATATTCATTGGAACTGTTTCAGAAATGAGATTTTTCCCCCTTTAATAGCTGTTAGTTTCTGTCCTCTTTCTATCATATCTTATTTCATCCCTTTGTAATTTCAATGTATTCAGTTTTGACTTTGCCCGTATTCTACTTCGATATAGACTGGCACAGCAACTGAATATATTGCTCATACATTAGCTTTCCTTTCATAACCTGCTATAAGTTCTCTGATCCATGAGGAAGAGAAAAAGAGTATCTGACAGGTAAGATTGCTTTTTAAAGTTGTTTTAAATGCATTACATGACTGAGAAAAGAAAAATGCACATTTTATTGTTGCAGTTTAAAATTTCATTTTGGTGAAACTAAACGTGAAACAAAAGGGATAAATGTGTTTTGTTTTGTTTTGTTTTACCTGTTTGGGGTATTTTTTTCTGAGTTTGTGTAGAAACCGTGTGGTACACTGGTAATCTTGTCAGGGTACAAACTTGGTCTGACTTTGTTATTTGGTTTATTTGTGAACCATGTACTTGCTCTTCCTCCCAGAAACATAGCTTGTAGGCAAGGTTAATCCAGTGTTGGCGATCCATGTCCTAGCACAGCATCTGTAAGTTAATGCACAATCGTTCCTTCCAAGGATGGATTTATCATTGTAAATATATTTTCATTGTCTTACAGGCATAATGGGCATAAGTATGTTGCTTTTAAATATTTTAAATTAAACTATTACAGTTACATATATTTTGCTTGAAGTGAGTGATTTTCAAACTTTTTGTATTTGGTGGGCTGTCCATCTTGTAATGGTGGGAGTAAATGTTTCCATAGATGATAAGGCAGTTCTTGGCTGAATTCAGCTTGTGTTTCTTTTGGAGGGTGGGCAAATCAGAGGGCAGAGATTATTTAGTTGCATTATAGGTATTCTTCTATACCACTTGCCCTTTGAAACCCTCAACTTGAGGTAATGTGCAGTCTGGGGTTTTAATTAGTATTAATAATCTTGTGGATTTACAGAAATCTATAATGCACAGAGTTGAGTTTTAACCAATGATCGTATTCATAGAAAATATTTCGAACCACCACATTCTTCATGGTCATTTTAGTTAGTACATAGTCATTGAGTGGCCAGCCACACCTGACACAATCTCCCAGCATCCAAGATTGGAGATTCCTGGTCTGTGTAGAGTATATGGTTTTGCACGAAATCTTTCTAGTCTTGTGATTGCTTCAGTTTAATTTGTCACATAAAACCACAAGTATTTAATATTAATGTATCAGTGGTTTGGTGTTTTTGTTCCCAGTACTGGGCTTTGCGCCGGGAAAAATCTGAATACTGGAGCTACAGAGTTAACTCTAAAAGTGCTTTTATTGGTTTCTAGAAACTGGAAGAAGAGAAAGGCAAAAAGGAAAAAGAAAGACAGGAAATTGAGAAAGAACGGAGAGAAAGAGAGAGGGAGCGTGAAAGGGAACGAGAAAGGCGAGAACGGGAACGAGAAAGGGAAAGAGAACGTGAACGAGAAAAGGAGAAAGAACGGGAGCGGGAACGAGAACGGGATAGGGACCGTGACCGGACAAAAGAGAGAGACCGAGATCGGGATCGAGAGAGAGATCGTGACCGGGATAGAGAAAGGAGCTCAGATCGTAATAAGGATCGCAGTCGATCAAGGTAAGGCTTTACAGAAGTTACTGTTTCCTGATAGCTTTAAGAAAACTATCGGGTAGTCCTCCAGAGTACCATTTGCATTCATGGAATGAGAACTTTTGTGTGTGTGTGAGACATTCTCACTCTGTCACTCAGCCTGGACTGCAGTGGCTGAGCAATCTCCGCCTCCTGGGTTCAAGTGATTCTCATTCCTCAGCCTCCCAAGTAGCTGGGATTACAGGTTCATACCACCATGCCCAGCTAATTTTTTGTATTTTTGGTAGAGATGGGGTTTTGCCATGTTAATCAGCCTGGTTTTGAACTCCTGGCCTCAAGTGATCCGCCTGCCTCAGCCTCCCTAAGTGCTGGGATTATAAGCGTGAGTCACTGTGCCCAGCCTGAGAATTTTTTTAGAGACAACATGGTCTTTGTCTGTCTGTCTGTCTGTCTGTCTCTCTCTCTCTCTCTCTCTCTCTCTCTCTCTCTCTCTCTCTCACACACACACACACACACACACACACACACACACACACACACACACTCTCTCTCTCTCTCTCTCTCTCACTATGGGTAAAAGTAATAATTTTCAACTCTGGTTAATTTCTGTCTGAAGCCACTTTTTATAGAAACACAGTGGCCACTCAATGTTCTGGGCAGACATGACTCCCTGCTGTCTCCTTGGGTCCGTGGGCATTTTTAAAGTTGCTCTTTTTGTTGAAGTTCTGTATACTGAGACATCAGCTCTAGCACCACGTCTTTTTAGCCCCTAGCATTTTTATTTGTTTTTGTAGCCCACTGCACTGCCATAGCTTAATCTTTCTGTCTATAAATTTACTATCTACCTCTACCTCTGGCTCCTAGTAATTTTACTCTTTGGAAGGTTTTATTTTTTATTTAAAATTTTTTAATTATATTGATTTTTTTTTTTTTCTGAGACAAGTTTTTGCTCTGTTGCCCAAGTTGGAGTGCAGTGGTACAGTGTTGGCTCATTGCAACCTTTGCCTCCCAGGCTTAAGCAATTCTGCTTCAGCCTCCCGAGTAACTGGGACTACAGGCACACACCACTGTCCCGGACTAATTTTTGTATTTTTTTTGTAGAGTCTAGGTTTTGCTATGTTGCCCAGCTGGTCTCGAACTCCTGAGCTCAGGTAATCTGCCTGCCTCAGCCTCCCAAAGTGCTGGGATTACAGGCGTGAGCCACCATGCCCGGCCTTATATTGAATTATTTTGATGAGTCATCTCACTGTTGAATAATGAGGTATAGCAAACATGAACAAAGGAAGAGGAGAAAGCAGCAAGGAAGAGAGAAAAAGCTCCTTTTTCTTCAGGCTAGTTTAAAAATATACATTACTGTGTTGCAGTTTCTTACTTGATTATGGCTGGAGGGAGTTCCACTTTAGGTCATTTCACCTAGTTGCTAGAACTGGAAACCCAGAGCTCTCAACCTTCAGTAGGCATTAAAATTATTTCATTCTGTCCATTCCTGATACAGTCATTGAGAGGTTGGTATGTGTAAAATCCATCTCTTATATTTATGGCATAAGTGTATCCATAAAGAACATATTTCATATATACATATTAAATACACACACACACACACACACACACACAGAGTTATTTGATTAGATCCTTGGTATCATGCTGTATGTAATCTGCAGTTTGGTTTTATTACTTTTTTTTTTTTTTTTTTGGAGACGGGCTGGAGTGCAGTGATACAGTCATAGGTCACTGTAAGCTCCAAGTCCTGGGCTCATGGGATCTTCCCACATCAGCCTCTGGAGTAGGCAGGACTACAGGCACGTGCCACCATGCCTCCTGGCCTCAAGCAGGCCTCCTACCTCGGCTTCTTAAAATGTTGGGATTAGATTTTATCACTCTTAATTAAATATTTGAGAACTTTCAGTGCTGATACTTATAAAAGTTCTAACTTAATCCATGCAACATGTCAGAATTCTGTTTTCCACATGTGCCAGCACTTACTCCTTGATCTCTAGTAAGCTAAACTATCTCTTAACATATTCATTAGTCCTTCATATTTCTTTTGGGAATTAAGTTTTCCTTTTTTCTGTTTTACACCATCAGGGGATTGACTATTATTTCAGTATATGATGGGCATTAACTAACCATTCATTTTAATGATTTATAACTATTTTATATTCAGATTGTATTTGTTTTCTGACATACCAGTAAGCATTAGGTATTAGAATGCATTTTAGGATTTGGGACTGCAATTTATGTCTTTCTGATGAGTGTAGAGGAGGTTACATAGTTTTATGGAAATCAAGTGCTAGATTCTGGCCTGTGAGATTTTATATTATTTCATAATGTATGTTGTCCTCCTTTACTTTGGTCTTGAAAACAGAAAGTAGACTGACAGATTTGTAAAATATTTTGTTTACATTAGAGAAAAAAGCAGAGATCGTGAAAGGGAACGAGAGCGGGAAAGAGAGAGAGAGAGAGAACGAGAGCGAGAACGAGAACGGGAGCGAGAGAGAGAGCGAGAGAGGGAACGGGAGCGAGAAAGAGAAAAAGACAAAAAACGGGACCGAGAAGAAGATGAAGAAGATGCATACGAACGAAGAAAACTTGAAAGAAAACTCCGAGAGAAAGAAGCTGCTTATCAAGAGGTAAGTTGAGAAAATGCCTTTATTCTTAAATCTTGGTATCCCTTAATAGGTTAATCAATATTTATAGAATGCTATGTATAAATTTTTAAAGCTTTGAAAATTTAATTTTTTTAGCGCCTTAAGAATTGGGAAATCAGAGAACGAAAGAAAACCCGGGAATATGAGAAAGAAGCTGAAAGAGAAGAAGAAAGAAGAAGAGAAATGGTAAGATTCTAGGCTAAAATAAGTGATTTTTCAGGTAAAAAGTCAGATTGTATCTTTACTGCTAACTACAAGTAACTTAATAATTGAAATGCACAAGCTTCTCTATTCATGTATAATTTAATTTTTATGTATTTTGAGTAATTTTGAGCCAATTTAAGTACACCAAAATCTTTTTTCCTCTTCAAATTTTTGCTGCATCTAAAGTTATCTTTTTGTATACCATCAAAGTAAATTTGTCATATAGTAATATTTAAGTCAAGAATTTATTAACTTATTTTTAAGAATCTGCATATTTTTAAAATTGTTGAACTGTTGTTATTAGATATAATAGTTGCATTTGAAATTCCGTAAGTTAAGAGATTCATTTTATCTCATGGATTGTTTACTATTGGTTTAGAGTTGGGGGGCATTACCTTTAAATTGATTGATGAACATGATTTAAATTTCTGCGTTTCTTAAAAACTATTTCTTATAGTATCATCTACCTTAAAAATGGAATTAAAAACCATATACATATACACATATACATACATGTATACATATATATGTATATACTTTTTTTTTTTTTTTGTGGAGACGGAGTGTTGCTCTGCCACCCAGGCTGGGGTGTGATCTCGGCTCACTGCAACCTTCTCCTCCCAGGTTCAAGCGATAAGCGATTCTCCTGCCTCAGCCTCCCGAGTAGCTGGGATTACAGGCGTGTGCCACAACACCCAGCTAATATTTTGTATTTTTAGTAGAGACGGAGTTTCACCATGTTGGCCAGGATGGTCTCAAACTCCTGTCCTCAAATGATCTGCCTGCCTTGGCCTCCCAAAGTGCTGGGATTACAGGCGTGTGCCACCACGCCCAGCCATATTTTTTCGTTTAATAAGATAATCTCCAGTTTTGTTGGTGTGCTTAGGTATTGTATTTTGAAGATTATATTCAAAGAGCATATTTATTGTAGCGTAGCGTATATATATAGTTTGCATTTTACAGATGCGTCCTCATTCAGACTTTTCTTAGAGGTAAAAAATTTAAAATGTCTAATGTGACCTATACTTAATATATGGAGTATATGAAAACTAAAATTTAAGAGGACAAGAAAAATCTTTTTTTTAACCAAAGTATTATTATATTTATTATGGCATAGAGTGGTATTTTATACATATCTCATTTTACAGTAAAAACATTTTATGTACAACTGTAGAGAGATAGCTGCACAGATAGCTCCAACTTAAATTAGAAAATATTTTCTCTATAGAAAATAATAAAAACACCGTTTCCCAGGCTAGCCCAACAAGTTTATTTAAACCAAATAGCTGAATACATATACATTTATAAATATGGTTTGAATTCTGGGATCCAGGAGAAACTTTAGTTTCATTTATTGAAACGGCCATGTTTGTCTTAAAATTATGTGAAGAGAAATTCCTATAAGTCTCCCTCTTACTCTTGGTTTATGTCTGGGTCAGAAAAATCTGTTTACACAAAAAAGGGAAGAGTAATCTTTATTACTTGTATGTTAATTTTATACATTGTCCTTATTTCCTCAAAGGCCAAAGAAGCTAAACGACTAAAAGAATTCTTAGAAGACTATGATGATGATAGAGATGACCCCAAATATTACAGGTAAAGAAGGCTTGTTCTGTGGATTCATACTTGGTTTTTTATTAGCTGTGTTTTTCCATCTGCACAGTTGATAATGCATGTTCACTAAGTGGAATAAGAAAAACAAACTTTCACATTCTGAGTAATTATTAATTCTATAGCTAATACACTGTTTTCGTTGGGAGAAAAGAGCTATCAGAAAAGGATAAACATTTCTATGCATCTTTTGTGCAGTGGGGGAGCCCATGATAGTATTATATCAAACAATACTATTTTTTTCTTTGTGTGTTGTAAATAGGTCTGATTTTTAAAATTTTTTCTTGATTCTTTTAGAGACAGGGTCTTACCTCGGCTGGAATGCAGGGGCATGATCATAGTTCACTGTAACCTTGAACTCTTGGGCTCAAGCAGTCCTCCCTCTGCAGTCTCTTGAGTAGGTTGGACTATAGGTGTGGGCTACCACACCTGTGTGCTAGGTCCAATTTTTATAGCAAGTTACAACGAATCTCTGTAACTATCTGGGTTTTTCTAGAAATTTTGGTCTTCTAGCAATTTGACCTCCCGTCTCTCACCCCATCTCCAAATTGATACATTATTGTGAAGTAACAGTTGTGACAACTGCCTTCTCTCATTCTTTGTTCCCATGGCATTTTCAAACTACTCTCATTCTAGTATTTGTGACATTATGCCAAAATTGCTTGTTTTGTTCTTCCTTCCATCCAAACTGTAAGTTCCCTGGGGATGTAGACAGTGTCTTGATACTATTTTATCTCTAATTTGTCTGACATGATACAATCATAGTGAAGATATTTAATATAGTTAAATTTAATACAGTATAGCCAAAATAATTAAAACATTGGAATTAGTAGCTTAAATCTCAAGGGTGCCAGGGATTTGGCTTTGTAGAAAGTGCCATGAAATCAGTAAAATATTGAAGGCTAGAAGCATAAAGTGGCAATGTATAACGTCAACATTCTGAGAAGTAATGAACTGCTAGATAGGAGAGAACCTCTGCTTTCTGTTGATTCTACACTACTTTCTGAGATAATTTTTACAAGTGAATAAATTGAGGATACAGAACTCTCAGTGCTACTAATGCTACTTGATATATTTTTTTAGGTTGGTATCTAGGAAAACGAAAATTATTTGTTGGGTATTCCTTGTGAAATAGGCACAAAGTGTGAGCTCTCTTTCTGAAAGTGACTATTTTACTTGTTTAGACACTTATTAGAATGACTTTAAGAATGAAGGGAACATAGTGATAAATGACAAGATAATGCTTGTTATACATTTACATGTAGAGAGCACACTCTGGTGTGTTCCGTAGATACAGAACATTAAGACATTCTTTAACCTCTTAGCATGCAGGTTGTAATGTTGAAAAGAGGTGCTGTTGGAGATGTCATGTTTACTTCTCAATGATCGGAGTATTAAATGAAGCCTTTTATCATTCACTTTTACAGAGGAAGTGCTCTTCAGAAAAGGTTGCGTGATAGAGAAAAGGAAATGGAAGCAGATGAACGAGATAGGAAGAGAGAGAAGGAGGAGCTTGAGGAAATCAGGCAGCGCCTTCTGGCAGAAGGGCATCCAGATCCAGATGCAGAGCTCCAGAGGGTAAGATACTGTACCATCTGGTCGGGCGCGGTGGCTCACGCCTGTAATCCCAGCTCTTTGGGAGGCCGAGGCGGGCGGATCACGAGGTCGGGAGATCGAGATCATCCTGGCTAACACGGTGAAACCCCGTCTCTATTAAAAATACAAAAGATTAGCCGGGTGTAGTGGTGGGCGCCTGTAGTCCCAGCTACTCGGGAGGCCGAGGCAGGAGAATGGCGTGAACCCGGGAGGCGGAGCTTGCAGTGAGCCGAGATCGCGCCACTGCACTCCAGCCTGGGCGACAGAGCCCCTGACTCCTGGGTTCAAGCGATTCTCCTGCCTCAGGTACCCGAGTAGTAGTACGGATTACAGGTGTGTGCCACCTCGCCTGGCTAATTTTTGTATTTTTATTTTTATTTATTTATTTTTTTGAGATGGGGTCTCGCTGTGTCGCCCAGGCTGGAGTGCAGTGGTGTCATCTTGGCTCACTGCAGCCTCCACTTCCCAGGCTCCAGGGATTCTCGTGCCTCAGCCTCCTGAGTAGCTGGGGTTACAGGCACGTGCCACCACTCCTGACTAATTTTTGTATTTTTAGTGGCGACGGGGTTTTACCATGTTGGCCAGGCTAGTATTAAACTCCTGACCTCAAGTGATCCGCCCATCTTGGCATCCCAAAGTCCTGGGATTACAGGAGTGAACCACCGTGCCCGGCCTTTTTTTTTTTTCCCTGAGACAGAGTCTGGCTTTGTTGCCCAGGCTGGAGTGCAGTAGCGGAATCTCTGTTCACTGCACCCTCTGCCTCCTGGGCAAGTGGTCCTCAGGCCTCTACCTCGTGAGTATCTGGGACACTTACAGGCATGAGCAGAATGCCTGACTGAATACTTTATGCTTTTTTGTAGAGATGGGGTTTTCCTGTGTTACCCAGGATTGAGCCACTGCCCATGTCCTTTTTTTTTTCTTTTTCTTTTTCTTTTTTTTTGAGATGGAGTCTTGCTTTGTTGCCCAGGCTGTAGTGCGATTCTGCAAGGCTCACTGCAACCTCCACCTCCCAGGTTCAAGCGATTCTCCTGCCTCAGCCTCCTGAGTAGCTGGGATTACAGGCGTGCACCACCACACCTGGCTAATTTTTGTATTTTCAGTAAAGACAGCGTTTCACCATGTTGGCCAAGCTGGTCTCAAACTCCTGACCTCAGATGATCTGCCCACCGCGGCCTCCCAAAGTGCTGGGATTACAGGCATGAGCCACCATACCTGGCCTTTTCTCTTTTCATAAAGATATTTTACAAGAGGTAATGTAAAACAAAAATCAAGTTGAATGGTGTAGAGTTGTAGTTAATCAGATTATTGTTTGGGTTTTAGATGGAACAAGAGGCTGAGAGGCGCAGGCAGCCACAAATAAAGCAAGAGCCAGAATCAGAAGAGGAGGAAGAAGAAAAGCAAGAAAAAGAAGAAAAACGAGAAGAACCCATGGAAGAGGAAGAGGAGCCAGAGCAAAAGCCTTGTCTGAAACCTACTCTGAGGCCCATCAGCTCTGCTCCATCTGTTTCCTCTGCCAGTGGCAATGCAACACCTAACACTCCTGGGGATGAGTCTCCCTGTGGTATTATTATTCCTCATGAAAACTCACCAGATCAACAGCAACCTGAGGAGCATAGGCCAAAAATAGGACTAAGTCTTAAACTGGGTACGTTAGCATTTCCTTCCTTCTTTATTTTCTTCCCTTCACCCCTGCAAATACCTGTATTGTGCTTTAAAGAAAAAAATTTATATTTGTGCTTGGTTAGGTAGATAGAAGATTACTAAAAAATGCCTTTCTAGCTCACGATTGTTTTCATAGTTTTACTAGTGCTCCTATATCTGCAGCTGCCTCGAGTTCTGAGAAGAAGTGAAAAGTTTAATTTTCTAGCACTTGTGAGTAGTGAGTTATTTTTTACAGTTGGGATCTTTCTCTAAGATTTGTGGAAGTATATTTTGCATTGCTTTTGAGGGATGGTGGGTTATAAAATGAAACATTTGGAAATTAAGTCATCTTGCTAAGAGAGTGTTTTTACTGTAGGTGCTTCCAATAGTCCTGGTCAGCCTAATTCTGTGAAGAGAAAGAAACTACCTGTAGATAGTGTCTTTAACAAATTTGAGGATGAAGACAGTGATGACGTACCCCGAAAAAGGAAACTGGTTCCCTTGGATTATGGTGAAGATGATAAAAATGCAACCAAAGGCACTGTAAACACTGAAGAAAAGCGTAAACACATTAAGAGTCTCATTGAGAAAATCCCTACAGCCAAACCTGAGCTCTTCGCTTATCCCCTGGATTGGTCTATTGTGGATTCTGTGAGTAGGAAATTATATTTCATCATATTATTGGGAACAGTTGGAATATGCCATACAAATTCATTTGAAGAAAAAAAAACCTCATTTGATTCTATTAATGACAAATAAGTAGGGATGATCATCTTGACACCAACTCAATGCCATGGTCAAGAAATTAGTAATAATGGAAATTTTTTTTGTGCTACTTGAAGACTTACTAAAAGCAGATGATTGTATCTTGATACATATCTGTCTTAGTTCAACTTGTGAAATAACATTATATTTTAGTCTCAGGAAAAATCATGAAGCTTTAATAACTGTTATAGCAAGTTACAATTCTTTAATTCAGTAACCGTGGTTTGTTTTGCAGATACTGATGGAACGTCGAATTAGACCATGGATTAATAAGAAAATCATAGAATATATAGGTGAAGAAGAAGCTACATTAGTTGATTTTGTTTGTTCTAAGGTTAGTCTTCTATTCTCTTCCATGCCAGCATTTATTTTATATATTAAAATATTAGACACTTCTTAAAAGAGCAGAAATTTTACAGAGTCAAGTTCCATGATGGTTTAGGTTCAGTTAAGTGATTTATATCTGCTTTTTTAAAGTTATTTTTATTTTTGGTGTGTTTTTTTTTATTCACTGCAGTGGATGCAGATTTATGTCTGCTTTAATGAACCTTTCCATCCAACTTCAGACTCCTCACACCACATGTTTTTATTTCAGTGGTCGAGGAGGATGGAATTGCTGGTTACTGCCAATTGTGTGCTGTCTTTCTGCCCCTGAGAATGCTGTGCCATCTTCTTCTTGTCTTGGTTGGAATAATTATGTTGAGATTTTTTGGACGTAGCCAATATCTTTTCCCAACTCCTTTGTCAGTCACCCATCCTTTGGATAGGATCAAAATAGTTCCTTTCATATCGTAGTAACGATCAGTGTTTATTGACTGACAGGCTGTGTTCTCGGCAGGTATTGTGTTAGTTTTGTTTGTTTTGTTTTGTTTTGTTTTTTGTTTTTTGTTTTTGTTTTTTCTTTTGAGTCGGAGTTTTGCTTTGTCCTACAGGCTGGAGTGCAGTGGCGCAATCATGGCTCACTGCAGCTTTGAACGCCCAGCCTAGACTGATCTTCCTGCCTTAGTATCCTGAGAAGCCGGAACTATAGGCATATGCCACCACACCCTGCTAATTTTTTTTTTCTTTTTTTGTTTTAAATTATACTTTAAATTCTAGGATACATATGCATAACGTGCAGGTTTGTTACATAGGAGTACATGTGCCATGGTGGTTTGCTACACCCATCAACCTGTCATCTACATTAGGTATTTCTCCTAATGCTCTCCCTCCCCTAGCTCCCCACCCGCCGACAGGCCCAGCTGTGTGATGTTCCCCTCCCTGTGTCCATGTGTTCTCATTGTTCAGCTACCACTTATGAGTGAGAACATGTGGTGTTTGGTTTACACCAGGCTAATTTTTTGTATTTTTAGTGGAGATGGGGTTTCACCATGTTGGCCAGGCTGGTCTTGAACTCCTGACCTCAAGTGATCTGCCCAAGTTGGCCTCCCAAAGTGCGGGGATTACAAGGCGTGAGCCATCACACCAGCCGAAGATAAAGTTCTATAAAATGTTAACAAGACAGTGGCCCACGCCTTGTAATTCCCGCACTTTGGGAGGCCAATGGGGCAGAACACTTGTGGTCACGAGTTTGAGACCAGCCCGGCCAATATGGTAAAACCCCGCCTCTACTAAAAAGTCAAAAATTGGGTGCGCTGGGTGGCAGGCACCTGTAATCCCAGCTACTCGGGAGGCTGAGGCAGGAGAATCACTTGAACCCGGGAGGCGGAGGTTGAAGTGAGCTGTGATTGCGCCATTGCACTCCAAGCCTGTGTGACAAGAGTGAGACTCTGTCTCAAAATAAAAAAAAAGAAAAAAGAAAAACTTCTTTTAACCTAACACTTAGAATCTGTCTGTCATGAATGTTATACCCATTTTATACATGAAGAAATTGAAGTTTAAGGAGAGATTGTGTCTTGGCTATGTTTTATACTGAGTCTAGCCTCTGAAACCCATGCTCTTAACCACTAAGGTATATCTTCCCATTGTCTCCTGAAAACATAGTCTTAACTTTAATAAAACAGTTAACATAGTAGAAACACCATATTTCTATAAAGGTATAGCTATGGTATTTTTTTGCCAGTAGTGCTCTTTTGATATTATGAACAGTAAATTTACTCTGTCTTCTCTAACTTGTAATTATTGTGGCATTAAAACTTGTGTGAGATTTGACTTAAAATTAGACTACAGACCACTATGGAGATTAATATTCCAGGTTTTGGTGCCTCTTTCGTTGAAGAATGATATTCTGAAAATTAAAACATTTATAGAATGGTTCCTTAGCCGCAAGAAGTTCCTGTATGAATTTGAGGATTCATACCTTAAAATTTCTTGACTGTATTGTTAATTTTTTATTTATTTTTAATGTGACAATTATTTTTCTCTTTTAGGTTATGGCTCATAGTTCACCCCAGAGCATTTTAGATGATGTTGCCATGGTAAGTTAGAAATTCACTATTTTTATTTCTTTTAATTTAAAAAAAGTTTTTGGTTTTTTTTGTCTTAAAATATAGATGGGGTCTCACCACGTTGCCCAGGGTAGTCTTAAATTCCTAGGCTTAAGTGATCCTCCTGCCTCAGCCTCCCAAAGTGTTGAGATTACAGGCATCAGCCACCACACCTGGCCAGAAATGCACTATTATTAATATTTTAATTAACATCTATATAAACTCACTTTTGAATTTGATTCACTTCCTGCCTGTCTTTGTTCCAGAATCTTTTTTAGGCCTGAATTAAAACTTGAGTAATCCCAGTACTTGGGAGGCTGAGGCGGGTGGATCACAAGGTCAAGAGATCGAGACCATCCTGGCCAGCATGGTGAAACCCCGTCTCTATGAAAAATACAAAAATTAGCTGTGCGTGGTGGCGTGTGCCTATAGTCCCAGCTACTCGGGGAGTCTGAGGCAGGAGAATCACTTGAACCTGTGAGGTGGAGGTTGCAGTGAGCCGAGATCATGCCATTGCACTCCAGCCTGGTGACAGAGTGAGACCCCATCTCTAAATAAATAAATAAGGCTTCATTCTTTTCCACCAGTTCCATTCATGTTTTCCCTATGCCCAGCACAATGTGCTAGAAGCATAAAAGTAGAACAAATGACCTGTAGTAGCAGAGAGATAGGTATACAGGTACTGGAACCTTGATGTACTTGTTTGAATTAGATATGTAGAAAGGATAATGGAGGTAGAGGAGATAGAACATCTGATGGCATTGATAGCAGTTAGGTTAAGCATCACAAGGATTACTACAGGAACTGATACGTGTGTGTGTGTGTGTGTGTGTGTGTGTGTGTGTGTTTTAAGTCGGATACATGTGCAGGTTTGTTACATAGGTAAACTTGTGTCATGGGGGTTTGTTGAACAGATTATTTCATCACCCAGGTGTTAAGCCTAGTACTCATTAGTTATTTTTCCTGATCCTCTCCCTCCTCCCACCCTCTGCCCTACGATAGGCCCCATTGTGTGTTGTTCCCCTCTCTTCGTTCATGTTTTTTCATCATTTAGCTCCCGCTTATAAGTGAAAACATACTGTATTTGGTTTTCTGTTCCTGTGTTAGTTTGCTAAGGATAGTGGCCTCCAGCTCCATCCATGTCCCTGTAAAGGACACTATTTCGTTTTTTATGGCCACAAGATTGTACATATGTGCTGCTTTTTGGACAGGTATCCAAACACCTGTTGTATTGACAGTAAACATCAAATCCCCGTTGCATTTAATTTGGGATTACAGTCAGTGGTAGCATGTAGTTAACACTGTGATTTTGTGAGACAAGGAAAGGAGAAGAAAATTGATGGTAAAGGTTGAGCAAGAGATTGAACTATGATCTCCAAGTTAGGAAGAGAAGAAAATAGTATCTGAATAGAGCTGGTGGTTTGAATGAATTAAGGACTAGTGGTTCCAGTGAAGTTGTGGAAGGCGAATTGTAATAAAACAACTGAAAGGAGAGGTTATGGTCAGAGTGTAGAAAGTTCAAGTCTATATGTGATAGGTCAGCCCAGACGATGGCAAGGTGCATAGTATGACTATGGGAAATTCCTGGGTATTGGGAGTCAGATTGGAGAGAAATACTGGAAATAGTTGCCAGAGCACTCATTTAAGTGGGGGGAAAGACTAGATACTTGCCAGATAGCTGCTCTTACAGTGGATAAGGTGGTGAGAGCTCATGAACGTCCATGGAGTTGTTTTTTTTTTTACCAAGAAAGAAACAGTGAAGACCCACAAGTCATTCCTGTGGAGATTAAGACATTGAGAGTGAGAGACTGCCTGAGAAGTGCCGGGGCTCTAGGAGATAGAGGAGGGTTTCTGTTAAGAGGAAAAACCTAATTTAGTTGTTGATGTGTAGTATAAAATGGAATAGCGGTCCAAAGGGCAGAGCGGGAAGACAGCAATGGGAAGATGAGTAAGGAAGGAAAAATCATCAAGCATGATATGAAATGGTAGATGACTGGGAGTACTTGCACTTGGAACTGCCACCAGAGATGTCAGGGAGGGACATCGTGGGGTTTATAGTCAAAAAGAAGGATTGTGAGGTCTAGCTGCTTTGTGTCCAGGCATTTTATGGTGTCTAAAGCCAGATAACATTCCTTTTCTGCTGCCTAGCTAGCTTGATGCAGCTGTCATTTAGAACACCTGATAAAACATTTGTGAAAACTTCATTGCCTCAGAGGAAAGGAGAAATGTGAATAGATTTCAGTCCTTGGGGCTGAATTCTGAACTTTCCTGAAGCTTCCAGCCCCGTTTTTCTTGGAGTAGAGGGTGTCGTAGTTAGGCCTGAGTGAAGACATTTTTTAAATAAAACTGTGTTCTAGCGTTTGGCCTCAGCAGAGTTCCTATCATACATAGTAAAGATTTCATGTCAGTGTTAATTTTAGATTTTTTGATCTGTTGTAATATATTGATATTTGAAGTGTATTTAGACCACTGTTTATGATTTTGTGGCTCGTTGATTAGAATGAGAGGAAACCAGTTGAGCTAGTGTTGTCAAACAGCTCTGCTAAAAAGCTCATGGGGCCTTGTAAATATTTCTTGAATAAATGAGGAGACTGAATTTTTAGCCTGAGTACTGTTTCACTCTTAACAAAAGTCTGACTTCTTTATATTATACCTTTTTCATTTTATGTAAATTAAATGAAGTTTGGTTGCATTTTGTGCCTACATCTCTCTGAAGTGTGACTCAGATGTGAATTAGTGTTACAACAGAGTTCTTCAACTAAAGTCAAATCTGGCTCATAGAAATCTGATCAAAAGTTCTTTAATTAATTATTGCTATCATTGAGAAAGTGACAGAAATTTCTTTCTTTTAATTTCTTTCTTCTTTTCTTTTTTTTTTTTTTTTTTTTTTTTTTTTTTTTTTGAGACAGAGTCTTGCTCTGTTTCCCAGGCTATATGGAGTGACAGTGGCGCGATCTTGGCTCACTGTAACCTCCACTTCTTGGGTTCAAGCAATTCTCCTGCTTCAGCCTCCCAAGTAGTTGGGATTACAGGTGCCCACCCGCACGCCTGGCTAATTTTTGTATTTTTAGTATTGACGGGTTTCACCATGTTGGCCCGGCTGGTCTCAAACTCCTGACCTCAGGTGATCTGCCTACCTAGGCCTCCCAAAGTGCTGGGATTACAGGCGTGAGCCACTGTGCCCAGTCTCTTCCCAGGTATTTATTAAGCACTTGTTATATACCAGTCAGTTGTCAGAGCACTTAACTACATACCAACTCTTTTAATTCCCACTTAGTACCTACTGCTATGGTGTGTAGCTACATCGCCTCCACTTTAGAGGTGAGGGAACTGAGGCTCAGGTTAAGTAACCCAACCAAGGACCTATCGCTAGTAAGAGGCAGCAGTGCAATTTGAACCTATGTAGCCTGACTAGAGAATTTGAACCAATGTAGTCTGACTAGAGATTGAGTACTCTAAATTCCTACCCCAAACTTCCTCTATGAAGACCTGGCAACACTAGACCACATTTCTGGAGCACAGTCATAGCTGCCCCCTTCAGAAGGGAGCAGAGTAGGCCATTTCACCTCATAGCAGCCATAATGTAGAGGGGCAGATGTGTGTATGGGATGATGGCAGGAATAGTGATGGGGACACAAGGACCCTATAACTCATAAGTAGAGAGGAAGACAATTTCCTCATCCACCACTGGAAGAAGACTTGTTACTCAGTAGTCATGTGTGCCCCGTGATGATTGTATTTGCTTATTGTGTTTACTGTATTCTGGACACTGTACTAAATACTTATATTCTCATTTAATGTTCACTTTAGTGTCACATACACAATAAATGCTAGTTAAGATGGTACGGTTGGGCTGTGCACAGCAGCTCAAACCTGTAATCCCAGCACTTTGGAAGGCCAAGGTGCGCAGATTGCTTGAGCCCAGGAGTTTGAGACCAGCCTGGGCAACATAGTGAGACCCTGTCTCTACTAAAAAGCACAAAAATGTAGCCAGGAGTAGTGGTGCACACCTGTAGTCCTAGCTACTGGTGAGGCTGATGTGGGAGTATCACTTGAGCCTGGGAGGTCAAGGCTGTAGTGCACCATGATCATGCCACTGTACTCCAGGCTGGGTGACAAGAGAGATCCTGTCTCCAGAAAAAAAAAAAAAAAGTTTGTGAGGTTGTGTTTTTGGAGATAAATGAAATTCTGTATTGTTATTATGTAATTGTATATTATTTAGTTCTTCTTAAATTACTGTGTTCTTTATGAAAAGCGTATGGTTTCCTTGGGAAGTAGTTTTGTCAGACATGTATAATTGCAGTATCTGTAAAGGTAAAATAAAAGAATAAAAGGTGGATCACAAAAATATGGTACTCTTTGTGTTTAGTAAGCCATGGAATTTTGAATGATTTTTTTTTGTTGTCGTTGTTAATTTACATTTACTATTTATTTATTTATTTAGAGACGGAGTTTTGCTCTTGTTGACCAGGCTGGAGTGCAGTGGCATGATCTTGGCTCACTGCAACCTCCGCCTCCCAGGTTCAAGCGATTCTCCTACCTCAGCCTCCCGAGTAGCTGGGATTACAGGTGCCGGCCACCATGCCCAGCTAATTTTTGTATTTTTAGTAGAGATGGGGTTTCGTCATGTTGGCCAGGCTGGTCTTGAACTCTTGACCTCTGGTGATCCACCTGCCTCAGCCTCCCAAAGTGCTGGGATTATAGGTGTGAGCCACTGTGCCCGGTCCATTTACTATTTATTAATAATACATTTCTCACACTGGACAAATTTTCTTTAAGTCATTTTACTGAAAGCAAAACTACTTCCTAAGGAAAACAAATACGTATTATAAAGAACGTAGTAATTTAAGAAGAACTAAATATACAACTATGTAATAACAATACAGAATCTCATGTATCCCCTCAAAACAACCTTAAAACTTTTTTGTTTTTTTTGTTTTTCTTTTTTGAGATGGAGTCTTGCTCTGTTGCTCAGGCTGGAGTGCAGTGGCGCGATCTTGGCAAGCTCCGCCTCCTGGGTTCACGTCATTCTCCTGCCTCAGCCTCCCCAGCAGCTGGGAATACAGGCGCACGCTGCCATGCCCAGCTAGTTTTTTGTATTTTTAGTAGAGATGGGGTTTCACCATGTTAGTCAGGATGGTCTTGATCTCCTGACCTTGTGATCCGCTCGCTTCGGCCTCCCAAAATGCTGGGATTACAGGCGTGAGCCACCACACCCGGCCACTAAAACAACCTTAAAATCTTAACTAGCATTTAAGTAATAAGTGCTTATTGTCAGTGGATGAAAAACTTTTTTATACTGGCCACTGTTTTTGGCAGATGTTGATGATTGCTTCTCTTACATGTGTTGCTGTTTTGTTTCCTCTTTAGGTACTTGATGAAGAAGCAGAAGTTTTTATAGTCAAAATGTGGAGATTATTGATATATGAAACAGAAGCCAAGAAAATTGGTCTTGTGAAGTAAAACTTTTTATATTTAGAGTTCCATTTCAGATTTCTTCTTTGCCACCCTTTTAAGGACTTTGAATTTTTCTTTGTCTTTGAAGACATTGTGAGATCTGTAATTTTTTTTTTTTGTAGAAAATGTGAATTTTTTGGTCCTCTAATTTGTTGTTGCCCTGTGTACTCCCTTGGTTGTAAAGTCATCTGAATCCTTGGTTCTCTTTATACTCACCAGGTACAAATTACTGGTATGTTTTATAAGCCGCAGCTACTGTACACAGCCTATCTGATATAATCTTGTTCTGCTGATTTGTTTCTTGTAAATATTAAAACGACTCCCCAATTATTTTGCAGAATTGCACTTAATATTGAAATGTACTGTATAGGAACCAACATGAACAATTTTAATTGAAAACACCAGTCATAAACTATTACCACCCCCACTCTCTTTTGATCAGAAATGGCAAGCCCTTGTGAAGGCATGGAGTTTAAAATTGGAATGCAAAAATTAGCAGACAATCCATTCCTACTGTATTTCTGTATGAATGTGTTTGTGAATGTATGTGTAAAAGTCTTTCTTTTCCCTAATTTGCTTTGGTGGGGTCCTTAAAACATTTCCCAACTAAAGAATAGAATTGTAAAGGAAAAGTGGTACTGTTCCAACCTGAAATGTCTGTTATAATTAGGTTATTAGTTTCCCAGAGCATGGTGTTCTCGTGTCGTGAGCAATGTGGTTTGCTAACTGGATGGGGTTTTCTTATTAATAAGATGGCTGCTTCAGCTTCTCTTTTAAAGGAATGTGGATCATAGTGATTTTTCCTTTTAATTTTATTGCTCAGAAATGAGGCATATCCTAAAAATCCTGGAGAGCTGTATTTAATGCATTTTTGCACTAATTGGTCCTTAGTTTAATTCTATTGTATCTGTTTATTTAACAAAAAATTCATCATACCAAAAAGTGTAAGTGAAAACCCCCTTTAAAACAAAACAAAAAAATGAAATAAAATTAGGCAAATTGACAGACAGTGAGAGTTTTACAAACATGATAGGTATTCTGCTCGGCAATTTGTAAGTTTACATGTTATTTAAGGATAAAGGTAAATCATTCAAGGCAGTTACCAACCACTAACTATTTGTTTTCATTTTTGTCTTGTAGAAGGTTTATATCTTGTTTTACCTTGGCTCATTAGTGTTTAAAAATGTACTGATGATGTGCTTAGAGAAATTCCTGGGGCTTTCTTCGTTGTAGATCAGAATTTCACCAGGGAGTAAAATTACCTGAAAACGTAAGAAGTTTTAAACAGCTTTTCACACAAATTAGATGCAACTGTTCCCATGTCTGAGTACTTATTTAAAAGAAAGGTAAAGATTGGCCTGTTAGAAAAAGCATAATGTGAGCTTTGGATTACTGGATTTTTTTTTTTTTTAAACACACCTGGAGAGGACATTTGAAAACACTGTTCTTACCCTCGAACCCTGATGTGGTTCCATTATGTAAATATTTCAAATATTAAAAATGTATATATTTGATCCTGGGGACTCATATTCTTTCAGAATCATGTAAATAAATGGCATCATGTTGTAATTGTGTGGTGCATACTAGAAAAGTTAAAAATATGGGCTGAACTTTTTATGGACTTGATTTTTATGACTATTGGTATCTAAAGGTCAAGGAAGCCATTTACATTATTTTGGATGAATCTACTATACATCTATGGAAATGTCTCTTTTATTTTAAATTCTGGTTTCTCAACGGAAAATTTCAGAAAAGATGCCCCTTGCCATTTTCGTTAATTTTTCAGTCTTTTCTTAGACACACCCCCAGCCTAAGACCTTGTTCGAGGAGTTTATTGTGTCTGTCTTTTCTTAACATACTGCACTGTTCTTAAGCATCATATTGTGTTGTTTTTATTTAGCCACTATTAACATGAAGGTTTATTCAGGTAGATTTGATTTCCTTTGCTTCGTTTCTTCTCCTGCTCTGTCAACTGTACTTATCTTAAAGGGCCACTCTAAAAACAAGGGAGATGTCGTAATCTGAAACCTTTGGGGAGATGTACTCTGTACTGCATAACATCTCCAGTGAGGTTTGTGACAGGACCTCAACTAAATATATGAATTTGTGCAAGTTCATATATTAAAGTTTCTGCAGCAGAGTGAAAATTGTTACAGTAAATGTGGTAGAAACTGTTAATCGCTTAATGCCAGTTTAAATCATGTTTTGTAACCAAGCTTCAGTAAAAGGCTTTAGATTGTCAGAGTTGGTTGATTTTTAGAATTGTATATATAAAGAATTAGACATTAAACAGGCATATTCTAGTGTCTGAAAATACACATAAGAAATTTCTATTAAGTTGCTTGAACTTTGTGGGTTAATTTTACCATAATCTCATAAATTAATTTTAGTTTGAAAACCTTATACAGTATGAATTCATTTTGCCATTTCAAGTTGTTATATAAAGAGCATGAAAGTCTTTTTTTGTTGTTTTTTTGGGGTTTTTTTTTTTTTGAGAGGAAGTTGTGCTTTTGTCGCCCAGGATGGAGTGCAATGGCGCGAGCTCAGCTCACTTCAACTTCCGCCTCCCGGGTTCTGGAGATATTCTGCTTCAGTTTTCTGAGTAGCTGGGATTACAGGTGCCCACCACGACACCTGGCTAATTTTTTGTATTTTTAGTAGAGACAGGATTTCACCTTGTTGGCCAGGCTGGTCTCAAACTCCTGACCTCAGGTGATCCACCCGCCTCAGCCTCCCAAAGTGCTGGTATTACAGGCGTGAGCCACCTTGCCTGGCCAAAGCGTGAACATCTTAAGAACCAGTCTTGATCTGGCAAAAAAGTAGTAGAATACTACTTTTCTTTATTTGTCCCTAAAAATAAAGTATGTACATCTGTTCACAAGGAAGAAAGGTAAGTTTGAAGTTGTTTTTCTTAAACTTTAATGTGACCCCAAATCATCTGAGGAGTGCTTGTAGAAATAGAGACACTGAAGTAGCAGCGCTGGGGTGGCGCCGCAGGCTTTGCATTTCTGGACAGCTCCCAGCTAATGTCATTGCCAACTGATCCAAGACTACATTTTGATTAGCACTTTAAGGTGTCTATTCAGTATTATTTTATCCTAACAGACTACATAAATGCAGCTGAATTTTCCTTTAAGTAGATTTTAAAGAGAAAAACATTTTTTGAGGCAAATACACGTAACTCATGAACGTAATGTAATCTTGCAAAATTATGTCTGAGAAAGCCCTAATATTCTAGGCTTTTTTTCCATCCAGCCCTGAAAATTTTTTCTGTAGATAACTTTATGTTGTAACTTATTCTGAATCTTATTATGGCATTTCCCTGTAAACTATGTAAGTGTAAGCTAATGATTATTTTGTGAAGCGTGCTGTTTCAGGTATTAATCTGCCATGAATACTAGATATAGTAGAAAAACTGAGAAAACATTTAGCTTGAGAGCCAATTTGAACTAGACACTATCTTTTTTTCTCCTTTTTAATGGAATAAATTTAATGCAAATAAGTGTAAGCAGGTATACAATGTTTAGATGAGGCTTATTTTCCCAACTCTTTTTAACAGGTTTTATGATATCCCCAATTTATACCCAAAAGACTGCTGAGAGGTTTTATGTCAAATTGATTACAAACTTCTCTGGGTTGTATTTCAGTCTTCTGTTAAGTATGAAATTGAGAAATAGTTTTGCTCAACAAAAGATGATGAGGGATTGATTTGTGAATGTCACTGGAGATAAAAGGGTATGAGAAGGAATCCCAAGCAGGCAAAGAAACAGTCTAGCTGTCAAGAAGAAAACAGGGAGATACATACCAAACCCAGGAGCTACTAATATAACAATCATACTATAGAGCGAAGTGAACTTACACTTTTTGATAAACTGATAGATTTTTTGTAATGTGATTATGGTAAAATACTGAAATATTTATGTTAATTTATTTGCATTTGAATGCTTACATTTTTAATTGACAGAATCTTTGCATTTCATTACTTGAGTCATGAAGGCGAAATTAAAGAATGGCAGTCTAAAATACCCAGGTAAAGAAGATAATTTCTAGAAACAAAAATAAAAATTCTTTTCAAGCCATGTTGTTTGAATTAAATGACACTCCTGAGTCTGTCTACTTTTTTTTTTTTTTTTGAGACAGCATCTTGAACCCAGGAGGTGGAGGTTGCAGAGAGCCGAGATTGCGCCACTGCACTCCAGCGTGAGCAACAAGAGCAAAACTCCATCTCAAAAAAATACATGTATTTCTGTTAGCTGATCATCTAATGGTGGCAAAAAAAATTACACGAGTTCAGGAACATCATTAGACATAAATACAAAATACTATGTGAATTATCAAATGTGATAAGCTGAGAGGAAATGGGAAATAGGAAGATTCTCAGTAGAAGTAGTAATATGTGGAAGGGGCTTTAGAGGTCACCTAGTCTGTTTTGCCCATTGTAATTATGTCAGTAGTCCCTGCAGGTGGTTTATCTAGAGGAGTATATATGGGGTTCTAATTCATGGTCTAGCATTGCACTATTAAATAACCACTAATGACAAGTAGTTTTACATGCATTCACGTGAAATCTTTCTGTTTGTTTGTTTGAGATAGGGTCTGCCTCTGTCACCCACGCTGGAGTGCAGTGGCAAGATCTTGGCTCACTGCAACTTCTGCCTCCTGGGCTCAAGTGATCCTCCCACCTCAGCCTCCCAAGTACTTGGGACCACAGGTGCACACCAACACACCCAGCTAATTTTTGTAGAGGAAGGGTTTCACCATGTTTCCCTGGTGGGCTTTGAACACCTGAGCTCAAACGATGCCTTGACCTCTCAAAGTGCTGGGATTACAAGTGTCAGCCACTGCACCTGGCCGACATTTTTTATTTGTTTAGAGACAAGGATTCCCTGTAAAGCTGCAGGGGCACAATCGTGGCTCTCACTGCAGCCTCGAATTCCTGGGCTCAGTGATCCTCTTGTCCCAGCCACCTGAGTAGCTAGGACTACAGGTGCACCCCACCATGCCTCCTATTTTTTGTGTTTGTGTGGAGATGAAGTGTGTTGTCTAGGCTGGTCTCAAGTGATCCTTCAGCCTCAGCCTCCTAAACTGCTGAGATTACAGGCATAAGCTTTTTTGATAAAGGAAAAACTAGTGAGCATTTCACATTGTAGAATCCAAAAACATGAAAGTTAATCTTTTCCTGTCAATTTACAGTTTTGTAAATGTACCCAGGTGAAGAGACTGGTCTGTTACTGTAGATAGAAAAGTACCAAAACAAAGTTTTACTTTGTTCAGTATACTGTCGAGGCAACTTTCTAAATGAGAGGGTCCAGGTTCTTGGTTAAAGAAGGAACTTAGAATTAACAAAATAGTGACAAACATTTGCGGCAGCGCGCCTCAGGGCACCAGCTGCAGGGGTCTGCCCACAGACCCTGACCCTGCGACAGATGAATAAAGTACACTGACACACAGATAGTCTGTTTTGCCAGTCCAGCTGAGGGTGTCCCACTGCTTACAGACTCCCTGGAGAGTTCTGAAAACAGTTGCAACTAGGCCTCAGTCAGCTAGTGAGACTTGCATTTATTCAAAAAGATTAAGGATGGCTTGAGTCAACACCATTAGAGGGTAATTGATATTGTGGACTTCCCAAGTAAAAAGCACTTAACCCCCCGTGGTACATCCAAGATTAGTCTTAAGATCATATGACTAAACAAACTAGGTAAACTACTCTGCCTTCCTTTATTACTACTTTAATTTGTTTAAAAGTAAAGATCAGGTTGCCTTCAACCATATCTATCACCGAAGCTATGCAAACTTCTCGGCCTTCCAAGAATTGTATCTGTCTCTGTAACAATCTTTAATGTTTTTCCCACCAGCCTGATTGAATCCCAACACATATTCAGAACTTAAGGCTAGAACAAGATGAGGAAGATATGACAGCCCGTGATTTTAAGCAATCTAAGGAAACCCATGCTTGCAAAGAATTCAAATGACGTGAGAGCTACTAAGATAAAATGTGGCCATGCACCAAGCCTTGACGGCAATATTTAATCTCATAACAATTCTTCTTTCCTCCTATATAAGAAGCATGGCAGCGACACTGTGCATAAATTAAGGCAAACTGTTGTTATGTGAAAATGTTAATGAGGTAGATTCCTTTGGAATCATTAGTGTGAAGAGCTGGTTTTTGTTTTCCCATTGCCTAGGCCCTGACTTTAGTAGTGACTGATGCAGCTTTTCTAGTCTAACAACCCTCTCCCCCAAGTAATTCTTTGATGCCCTGCCCTTCAGCTTCATCTTTTACCACTTACTATTGGGTTTTGCCACCATTTATTTTATCATTCACTTATCTGTTCCTCTTCCTAAGTTACAAACGTTTCTGAAGCAAAAGAAAATGTATCACTGTAGAGAGTCTAGGACCTTTAGTGTTATTTGGTCGTTTACTTTTCATACACTGCAGCTTTTACTGTTTTGAACCTTCATTGCTATAGTAGGTATTGAAAAATACTGAACGACCAGAAGTGATTTGATTTCTCCCTTATCTGGTAAATAATTTTTTTTTTTTTTGAGATGGAGTTTTGCTCTTGTCGCCCAGGCTGGAGTGCAATGGTGTGATCTCAGCTCACTGCAAGCACCGCCTCCCGGGTTCAAGTGATTCTTCTGCCTCAGCCTCCCGAGTAGCTGTGATTACAGGTGCACGCCACCACACCCAGCTAATTTTTTTAAATTTTTTATTATATATATATATAGTTTTTTGAGACAGAGTCTCACTTTGTCACCAAGGCTGGAGTGCAGTGACGAGATCTCAGCTCACTGCAACCTCCGTTTCCTGGGTTCAAACGATTCTTCTTAGCCTCCCGAGTAGCTGGGATTACAGGTGCACACAACCACACCCAGCTAATTTTTTTATTTTTTATTTTATGTATGTATATATATATATTTTTTTTTTTTGAGACAGAGTCTTGCTCTGTCACCAAGGCTGGAGTGCAGTGACGAGATTTCAGCTCACTGTAACCTCCATTTCCTGGGTTCAAACGATTCTCCTGCTTCAGCCTCCTGAGTAGCTGGGATTACAGGCACACGCCAGCATGCCTGGCTAATTTGTGTATTTTTAGTAGAGGCAGGGTTTCACCATGTTAGTTAGGCTGGTCTCGAACTCCTGACTGTGATCTGCCCGCCTCAGCCTCCCAAAGTGCTGGGATTACAGGTGTGAGCCACCGCGTCCGGCCTAATTTTTGCATTATTAGTAGAAATGGGGTTTCACCATGTTGGCCAGGCAGGTCTCAAACTCCTGACCTCAGATGATCCACTCTCCTCGGCCTCCCAAAGTGCTGGGATTACAGGCGTGAGCCACCGCACCCGGCAAATAATCCTTTCTTTTCTTTTTTCTTTTTCTTTTTTTTAATTTAAAAAAACAATTATTAGGCACCTTCTCTTCAGTTTATGACAGAATACACCTTACCCCTGTTTTTGTAAGCAGACGTACTCTATGCATCCCAATCTAGAAGACCCTCTCCCCCATGGCACTGTTTTCTAACTACATTCTACAGTTTCTTGAATGTTGCTCAGGTATTTCCTTTATCTGCTTTCTCCCTCGGGTCTGGAACATGGAGGAACAACACAAAAAATTTATCTTAGATCCTATCTCCTTTCCATTATACTATCAAGATTACAGAAATAGTATTTTATATATGCCCTCCAAATTTCTTGAGTTTCACTCAACCTATTCCAGTTTGTACTTCACCATTCCTCTGATGGCTGGTGACAGCCTGTGTGAGAAACTGGGCATGTAAGAGGTATAAAAAGAAAATCTTGGGGACCCCAAATCACTAAGCTAAAGGGAAAAGTCTAGGTGGGAACTGCTTATGGCCAACCTGCCTCCCATTCTATTCAGAGTTACCCCGCTGCTCACTGACATGGATGCATATCTGATTGCCTCCCTTCAAAAGGCTAATCAGAAACTCAAAAGAATGCAACCTTCATCTCTCACCTATCTGTGACCTGGAAGCCCCCTCCCAGCTTGGAGTCTTTCTGCCTTTGCTTCAAGTTGTCCCACTTTTCCAGACTGAACCAATGTACTTCTTACATATGTTGATTGATGTCTCATGTCTCCCTAAAATGTATAAAACTAAGCTGTGCCCCGACCACCTTGGGCACATGTGAGGACTTCCTGAGGCTGTGTCATGGGCACATGTCCTCAACCTTGGCAAAATAAACTTTCTAAATTAACTGAGACCTGTCTAAAATTTTCAGGATTCACAGAGGCTATTCCTTAGTTTGTCTTTTAGCACCATGTACATTTCCTGTCTTCTTGGGACTCTTACTTGGTGTCTAGGATATCACTTTTTACTTGTTCCTGTAGTCTGTTTTTCCCAGTGTCTTGCTGGCTTTCCCCTGGGTGTTCATATTTATAAAAAGATGAAGGTAAACAGGGCAACATAGCAGGACCTTGTGTCTACAAAAAAAACAAAAACAAAAACAAAAAAAGCCGGGCAAGGTGGCATGTGCCTGTAGTCCTAGCTACTTGGAAGGCTGAGGCGGGAGGATCGCTGGAGGCAAGGAACTCAAAGCTGCTGCAGTGAGCTTTGATTGTACCACCACCCTCCAGACTGGGCAACAGAGTGAGATCTTGTCTCTAAAAAGAGTAACAAAAATTTTTTAAAAATGTAAGTTTCATGCACGTCCGTGTAAGGAGAGTCCACCAGCAGGCTTTTTGTGAGCAACAAGGCTGTTTATTTCACTTGGGTGCAAGTGGGCTGAGTCGGGAAAGAGTCAGCAAAGGGAGATAGGGGTGGGGCAGTTTTATAGGATTTGGGTAGGTAGTGGAAAATTATAGTTAAAGGGGATTGTTCTCTTGCAGGCAGGGGCAGGGGTCACAAGGTTCTTGGTGGGGAGCCCCAGAGACTTATCCAGGAGAAGGAATGTCACAAGGTAATGTCATCAGTGAAGGCAGGAACCTGCCATTTTTACTTCTTTTGTGGTTCTTCTGTTGCCTGAGGCCATCTGGATATATACATGCAGCCTTGGGCTCAGAGGCCTGACATTCCTGTCTTCTCATATTAATAAGAAAATCAAAACAAAATAGTGGTGAAGTGTTGGGGCGGCAAAAATTTTTGGGGATGGTATGGAGAGATAATGGGCGATGTTTCTCAGGGCTGCTTCGAGAGAGATTAGGGGTGGCATGGGAACCTAGAGTGGGAGAGATTAAACTGAAGGAAGATTTTGGGGTAAGGGGTGATATTGTGGGGTTGTTAGAAGGAGCATTTGTCATATAGAATGATTGGTGATGGCCTGGATGCGGTTTTGTATGAATTGAGAAACTAAACGGAAGACACAAGGTCCAAATAAGAGGAGAAAAAAGGTATTAAAGGAGTAAGAATTGAGAGGACCTAGGACATCCAGTTGGAGAATGTCCAAGCGGGTTCAGTGTAATTATTTGCTTGGTTGGCGAGTTTTTGGGCTCTATCCTTGAGTTTTTTTTATGTTGTCACATACCAGGCCAGATTGATTTAGGTAAAAACAACGTTCTTCATTTAGAAATATGCAGTCTTCCTTTTTCAGCAGTGAGTAAGTTGAGGCCTATTCCTGCCTTTTTATATTAATAATAAGAAAAACAAAACTAGTAGTGAAGTGTTCGTGTCATGAGGAGAACAGGAAGCTGTTTGGTCCCATTCGCAAATTGAATTTTGGGAGTAAGGAAAACTAGTGTGCATGTGCCTGTCCATTTAGCAGGTAAACACATGTAGGTAGAGGAGCCACAGAGCGATAAGAGACCTTGTGCAAGGCAAAACTGGAAATGCAAAGTGAAAAGATGAGAAAGAGTACTAAAAGTGGTGTCTTGTACCCAGACTCCTAGGGATCCAGCTACGGCGGCAGCTGTCAGAGGTTGTAATGGGGATTGATGGTGTAACTGCGTAGAGGGGGAGGTTCGATTTTCATGGTGTATGAGAAAGCACCGAGTGTCTATGAGCAACCTTTCACTGTTATTTATGGGGCTGGGCATAAGATGTGGTTCAGGACTTGTGTTGGGTGCTAAGTGAGAAGCTGGGTTGAAATCAGGCCCATGGGCAATAGTTACTGTTGGAGTTTCAATAAAGAGTGAATAGAGCTGGAGGAGTTGAGGGGCAGACAGTAAGTGTGAAAGGTGTGAGCAGGATATTAATGCTTGAAGGTTGTGAGAACTGTTGAGGGTAAGTGGAGCATAGCTTGTGCTTTTGAGGGCTTCCAGAGGTATTAAAGCGGCAGCTGCTGCCGCATGCAAACATGAGGGCACCCCAGAATTGTGAGGTCAAGTTGTTTGGACAAAAAAGGCTACAGGGCGCAGTCCTGGTTCTTGTGTAAGAATTCCGACCACACAGTTCAGTACTTCAGCTGTGTGTAATGAAAAGGGTTGGGATGAGTTAGGGAGAGCTAGTGTGGGGAGCAGCTTCTAGGGCTGTTTTTAAAGAATGGAAAGAGGAGTGGGGAAAGGATTTAGGATCTATGGGGTCAGCTAGGTTTCCTTTTGTGAGTTTATATAATGGTTTAGTCAGGATAGGAAAACCAGGTATCCAAAGGCGAAAGTATCTAACCATGCCTAGGAAGGAAAGGAGTTGTTGCTTTGTAGAAGGGATTGGGGTTAGGGAGATTAGCTGGACACGATTAGCAGGGAGAGCACGTGTGTTTTTATGAAGAATTAAGCCGAGATAGGTAATGGATGAAGAAGAAATTTGGGCTTTGGAGGGGGATACACGATATTCCTTTGAGAACAGATGTTGGAGGAGCAGGAGGATGTCCTGTTGGGAAGATTTGTAGGAGGGGCTCTAAAGTAGAAGGTCGTCAGAATATTGAATAAGGTGAGAAGCAGATGGACAGAAAGAAAGTAAATCATGAGAAAGGGCTTGACTGAAGTAATGGGGGCTGTCCTTGAAGCCTTGTGGCAGTGCAGCCCAGATAAGTTGCTGAGGCTAATGGGTGTCAGGGTCAGTCCAATTGAAAGCGAAGAGAGGCCGGGATGAAGGGTGCAAAGGAATAGTAAAGGAAGCATGTTTGAGATCCAGAACAGAATAATGGGTTGTGGAGGGAGGTATTGAGCATAGGAGAGTATATGGGCTTGGCACCATTGGGTGGATAGGCAAGACAATTTGGTTGATAAGGCGAAGATCTTGGAACAGCCTGTAAGACTTGTCTGGTTTTTGGACAGGTAGGATAGGAGAGTTGTAAGGAGAGTTTATAGACTTTAAGAGGCCATGTTGTAACAGGCAGGTGATAACAGGCTTTAACTTTTTTAAAGCCTGCTGTGGGATGGGATATTGGCGTTGAGCAGGGTAAGGGTGATTAGGTTTTAATGGGATGGAAAGGGGTGCATGATTGGTCACTGAGGAGGAAGCAGAGGTATCCCATACTTGTGGATTAAGGTAGGGAGACACAAGGGGAGGATGCGAAGGAGGCTTTGAACTGGGGAAAAGGGTGGCAATGAGGTGTGGCTGTAGCCCAGGAATAGTCAGGGAAGCAGATAATTTATTAAAATGTCTCAACCTAATAAGGGAGCTGGGCAGGTGGGGATAACTAAAAAGGAGTGCATAAAAGAATGTTGTCCAAGTTGGCACCAGAGTGGGGGAGTTTTAAGGGGTCTAGCAGCCTGGCTGTCAATACCCACAACAGTTATGGAGGCAAGGGAAACAGGCCCTTGAAAAAAAGGTAATGTGGAGTGGGTAGCCTCCGTATTGATGAAGAAGGGGATGGACTTACCCTCCACTGTAAGAGTTACCTAAAGCATCTGTGATGGTCCAGGAGGCTTCTGAGGCGATCGGGCAGCGTCAGTCTTCAGCCACTAAGCTGAGTGGGTCTGGGAAGGAGTCGGCCAAGGAACATTGGGTTTGAGCTCCAGGACCTTTAGGAGCAGTGGCGATGTGAGTCGGACAGTCTGACCTCCAGTGGGGGCCCGCACAGACAGGGCATGGCTTAGGAGGAATCTCGGGCTGTGGGCATTCCAAGGCCCAGTGGCCAGGCTTTTGGCATTTGAAGCAAGGTCCACGAGGAGGTTTTGAAGGAGCCCCTGGGAGCTGTGGCTTGGATGTTATGAAGTTTTTGTATGCTGGAGACGTGGTTGTGGGTTGTCTTACAGCAGAGGCAAGTAGCTGTAACTCAGAGATGCGTTGTCACTTGGCTGCCTCTTCTCTATTATTGTACACCTTGAAGGCGAGGTTAATTAAGTCCTGTTGTGAGGTTGAGGGCTGGAATCCAATTTTTTGGAGTTTTTTTTTTAATGTTGGGAGCAGATAAAATGCATATTGAGAATAAGATGGCCTTAGGGCTGGGCGCGGTGGCTTACACCTGTAATCCCAGCACTTTGGGAGGCCAAGGCGGGCAGATCACCTGAGGTCAGGAGTTCGAGACCAGCCTGACCAACATGGAGAAACCCCGTCTCTACTAAAAATACAAAACTAGCCTGGCGTGGTGGTGCATGGCTGTAACCCCAGCTTCTCGGGAGGCTGAGGCAGGAGAATCGCTTGAACCCGGGAGGCGGAGGTTGCAGTGAGCTGAGATCGGGCCATTGCACCCCAATCTGGGCAAAAAGAGTGAAACTCCATCTCAAAAAAAAAAAAAAAAAAAAAGAATAAGATGGCCTTCTGGCCCTTCTGGGTCTAGGGCAGTAAAGCATCTAAGAGTTGTTGCCAAATGGGCCATGAACTGGGCTGGGTTTTTATATTTGATGAAAAGGAGCCTAAGCACTAACTGATTTGGGAGAGGTCAGATAAAGAAAAAGGAGCATTAACCTTGACTGTGCCTTCAGCTCCAGCCACCTCTTTAGGAGGAAATTGTTGGGCAGGTGGGGGAGGGCTAGTCACGAAACAAAACTGTAAGCCAGACCAGGTATGAGGAGGGGAGGTGATAGAAGGATTATAGGGTGGGGGAGTGGAGGCCGAGGAAGAATTGGGACCTGGCTCGGCCTGGTGAGGAGCAGCCTGGGGAGAAGGGGAGAGGTCAGATGGGTCCGTAGAAAAGGAGGATTTAAAGGACTCAGAGCTTGGGGTGGAGACTGAAGGAACACACAGGAGAGAAAGAAGAAAGATTTGGAACGAGTTGCATTGGGAGCAGAGACTAGGGAGGGACCAATGTGTGAAAGAATGCCTGGATGTCAGGCACCTCAGACCATTTGCCCATTTTTCGACAAAAATTATCTAGATCTTGTAGGATGGAGAAATCAAAAGTGCCGTTTTCTGGCTATTTGGGACCATTGTCGAATTTGTACTGGGGCCAAGCAGGGTTGTAGAAGAAAATAAGGTGTTTTGGTCTTAGGTCAAGTGTAAGTTGAAGAGGTTTTAAGTTCTTGAGAACACAGGCTAAGGGAGAAAGGGGAATGGAGGGTGGAAGTTTGCCCATAGTGAAGGAGGCAAGCCCAGAGAAAAGAGAGGGTAGAGACTTGGAGTGGGTGGTGGTACTTGCCACCCAGGGGAGGAGGTACTTGCCACCAAGGGGAGGTGGTACTTGCCACCAAGGTGAAGGATCAAGGCAGGCATCCCCGTGGTGATCAGACACCTCTGAAATGTGAGTGAATAATCAAGCAGGCGTTCCTGCAGTGATTGGACACCAAGGGAAAACTGTCTTCCCGAGTCTGTGACCAATGCCAGAGTTTTGGGTGCACAGATAAAATGTGTCTCCTTTGTCTCTACTAGAGAGGAAAAAACTGGAATTGGAAGGACAGGGAGATTAAAGGGTAGTGAGAAGGCTGGAGAAGAGAGTGAAAAGGCCGCTTACCCAATTTTAAATTGGTGAGATGTTCCTTGGGCTGATTGATGGGAGGACGCGAGGTCATAGGTGGATCTCCTCATGCAGTGAGGGTGAGGACAGGGGACCAGTTTCCCGAAGGAGTCCTCCTGTCCTGGGTCTTCAGCACCAAATGACACACACGTCCGTGTGAAGAGAGTCCACCAACAGGCTTTGTGTGAGCAACAAGGCTGTTTATTTCACTTGGGTGCAAGTGGGTTGAGTCCGAAAAGAGAGTCAGCAAAGGGAAATGGGGGTGGGGCAGTTTTATAGGATTTGGGTAGGTAGTGGAAAATTACAGTTAAAGGGGGTTGTGCTCTTGTGGGCAGGGGCGGGGGTCACAAGGTGTTTGGTGGGGAGCTCCAGAGACATTATCCAGGAGAAGGAATGTCACAAGGTAATGTCATCAGTTAAGGCAGGAACTGGCCATTTTCACTTCTTTTGTGGTCCTTCAGTTGCCTCAGGCCATCCGGATGTATACGTGAAGGCTTGGGCTCAGAGGCCTAACAGTAGGACATAAAGAAAATGAGAAGAAAATTATCTGAAGGCTGGTTATTCAATGTTAGGGTTTGCTATTTTTTTAAAATCTTACTGCCTTTTTGTTGCAGGACTTTTTTTTTTTTTTGGGAAAAACAGAGTCTCACTGTGTCTCCCAGGCTGGAGTGCAGTGGTGCAAACTCGGCTCACTGCAAACTTTCCTTCTCAGATTCAAGCCTCAGCCACCTGAGTAGCTGAGATTACAGGCCCACACCACCATGCCGGGCTAATTTTTGTATTTTTAATAGAGACGGGGTTTCACCATGTTGTCCAGGCTGGTCTTGTACTCCCAACCTCAAGTGATCCTCCTGCCTTGGCCTCCCAAAGTGCTGGGATTACAGGCATGAGCCACCGTGACCAGGCGTTCATGAAAAATTTTCATGACATTCTGTGAGGTGGGTGGACCATAATTTATTGTACCACATTTATTTATTTATTTATTTATTTATTTATTTATTTATTTATTTATTTTTATTTTTTGAGACATAGTTTCGCTCTTGTTGCCCAGGCTGGAATGCAATGGCGCAATCTCGGTTCACTGCAACCTCTGCCTTCCAGGCTCAAGCAATTCTGCCTCAGCCTCCCAAGTAGCTGGGATTACAGGCATGCGCCACCACGCCTGGCTAACTTTTTTTGTATTTTTAGTAGAGACGGGGTTTCTCCATGTTGATCAGGCTGGTCTCGAACTCCTGACCTCAGATGAGCCGCCCACCTTGGCCTCCCAAAGTGCTGGAATTACAGGCGTGAGCCACCGCACCCTGCCTATTGTACCATATTTAGTTTCCCAATTTTTTGCTATATAATATTCCATGAATATCTTTGCCCAAAATTTTTGTAGATTGTTTCTAAGAATAGTTCATCAGCATTTTAAGACATCCTATTAATATTAGCGGACTGCAATCAGATTGAAGTAGTTCACAAATAGATGGGTTTTAGCCTGTATTTGTTCAATACTGAACTATTGTATGTATCAGGCACTGTTATGTATCAGGCACTGTTCTCAGCACTTGTAAAATGTATATGTGCTGCTGACAAGCATGAGCACTTGTAAATGAACAAACTAAAATCCCTACTCTTGTTAAAGTGGGGGAGGTGAAGAATTTTAAAAACATCTTTTTTCGTTCAACCTTCTCCCACAACTTATCTTTCATTCTGCTAATGGAAAATATTACTTTTGTTCTTAAATATGAAGCTTTTGTGTGTAAAAAGTATTAGAATCTCATGTTTTTGAACAAGGTTGGCAGTGGGTTGGGAGGAGGGATTGGAGATTGATGCGATAGGAATGTGAAGGGATAGCTTGGGGTGGATTTTATTTTTTAATTTTAATTTTTATTTTTTGAGATGGAGTCTTGCTCTGTCTCCCAGGCTGGAGTGCAGTGGTGTGATCTCAGCTCACGGGTTCAAGCGATTCTCCTGCTGCAGCCTCCCGAGTAGCTGGGATTACAGGAGCGCGCCACCACACCCGGCTAATTTTTTTGTATTTTTAGTAGAGACGGGGTTTCACCATGTTGGTTAGGCTGGTCTAGAACTCCCAACCTCATGATCCGCCTGCTTCGGCCTCCCAAAGTGCCGGAATTACAGGCGTGAGCGACTGCACCCGGCCGCTTGGGGGTGGATTTTTAAAGAAACTTTAGAAGAATGTAACTTGCCCAGATACCATGTACCGTTAATTTCATTTTCGGTTTTTTGAATACCCATGTTTGACATTTCTCCGTTCACCTTGATTAAATAAGGTAGTATTCATTTTTTAGTTTTAGCTTTTGGATATATGTGTAAGTGTGGTATGCTGTCTAATGAATTAGACATTGGTACTGTCTTTACCAAAACTGGACAAAGAGCAGGCAGATGCAAAAATCAAGTGACCCAGCAAACCAGACACATTTTCTGCTCTCAGCTAGCTTGCCACCTAGAAAGACTGGTTGTCAAAGTTGGAGTCCAAGAATCGCGGAGGATGTTTAAAATGCAGTTTCTCAGGTTCTCGCCACCCACCAGAAGTTTTGATTCATTGAGTGGTGGGAGAGGGCAGAGATATTTGCGATTTTAACAGCATTCTCTTGATTGTGATGCAGCTGGTTCGCAAATAGGTACCCTAAAGAAATGACAGGTGTTAAATTTAGGATGGCCATCGCTTGTATGCCGGGAGAAGCACACGCTGGGCCCAATTTATATAGGGGCTTTCGTCCTCAGCTCGAGCAGCCTCAGAACCCCGACAACCCACGCCAGCGCTCTGGGCGGATTCCGTCAGGTGGGGAAGGCCAGGTGGAGCTCTGGGTTCTCCCCGCAATCGTTTCTCCAGGCCGGAGGCCCCGCCCCCTTCCTCCTGGCTCCTCCCCTCCTCCGTGGGCCGGCCGCCAACGACGCCAGAGCCGGAAATGACGACAACGGTGAGGGTTCTCGGGCGGGGCCTGGGACAGGCAGCTCCGGGGTCCGCGGTTTCACATCGGAAACAAAACAGCGGCTGGTCTGGAAGGAACCTGAGCTACGAGCCGCGGCGGCAGCGGGGCGGCGGGGAAGCGTATGTGCGTGATGGGGAGTCCGGGCAAGCCAGGAAGGCACCGCGGACATGGGCGGCCGCGGGCAGGGCCCGGCCCTTTGTGGCCGCCCGGGCCGCGAAGCCGGTGTCCTAAAAGATGAGGGGCGGGGCGCGGCCGGTTGGGGCTGGGGAACCCCGTGTGGGAAACCAGGAGGGGCGGCCCGTTTCTCGGGCTTCGGGCGCGGCCGGGTGGAGAGAGATTCCGGGGAGCCTTGGTCCGGAAATGCTGTTTGCTCGAAGACGTCTCAGGGCGCAGGTGCCTTGGGCCGGGATTAGTAGCCGTCTGAACTGGAGTGGAGTAGGAGAAAGAGGAAGCGTCTTGGGCTGGGTCTGCTTGAGCAACTGGTGAAACTCCGCGCCTCACGCCCCGGGTGTGTCCTTGTCCAGGGGCGACGAGCATTCTGGGCGAAGTCCGCACGCCTCTTGTTCGAGGCGGAAGACGGGGTCTGATGCTTTCTCCTTGGTCGGGACTGTCTCGAGGCATGCATGTCCAGTGACTCTTGTGTTTGCTGCTGCTTCCCTCTCAGATTCTTCTCACCGTTGTGGTCAGCTCTGCTTTAGGCATATTAATCCATAGTGGAGGCTGGGATGGGTGAGAGAATTGAGGTGACTTTTCCATAATTCAGGTGAGATGTGATTAGAGTTCGATCTGCGGTGGTGGCAGAGGCTTACAAGAAACACTAACGGGACATGGGAACCAATTGAGGATCAGGGAATAAAGTGTGAAGTTGACTAGGAGGTTTTCAGTTTAGAACATGGCAGAGACATTCTCAGAAATAAGGAAGTTAGGAAGAAAGACCTGGTTTAGAGAGGAGGGCGAGGAAGTGGTTTGGAAGTGTCACTTTGGAAGTGCCAGCAGGTGAAAATGCCCTGTGAACAGGACTGGAGCTGAAAACAGGAATCAATTCCATAGATTTCCAGTTGATGTTGGAGCAGTGGAGAAGTCTAAGCTAAGGAAGGGGAAGAGGAGGCCAAGGCAAACACTTAGGAACACTTGCAACGAGGGGGTGGAAGAAGAGCAAGGAGCCAGCTGAGGAGAATGAGTGTGGTTGGAGAACCACCACAGCGCAGGGTCGCCAGAGCTGAGGAAGGGGAGGGAAGCTTCAGGAAGGAAAAGGTTGGCAGGGATTTTGAGTGTTAGGCCTGGTGTAGCAGAAGGAACAGAAGATTTAGAGCAGCGCTAGCCAATAGAAATAAAATGTGAGGCCCGGGGCGGTGGCTCACGCCTGTAATCCCAGCACTTTGGGAGGCCGCGGGGCGGATCCTTGAGCTGAGGAGTTCGAGACCAGACAACACGGCGAAACCCCGGCTCTACAAAAAATTAGCTGGGCGTGGGGGCGCGCGCCTGTAGTCCCAGCTGCTCCCAAGCGAGGCTGAGGCAGGAGAATCACTTGAACCCGGGAGAAGGAGGTTGCAGTAAGCCAAGATTATGCCACTGCACTGCAGCCTGGGCAAAAGAGTGAGACTGTCTCAAAAAAAAAAAAAACCTGTTTTGTTTTTCTTTTGGAGAAAAGGCATACAAATTTATTAGCATGCAGACTGGGAGAACCACAAGGTGATTATCCCTATTTTAAATTTTCTAATAAACATACTATTATTTATTTATTTATTTATTTATTTATTTATTTATTTATTTTTTGAGACGGAGTCTGGCTCTGTCGCCCAGGCTGGAGTGCAGTGGCGCGATCTCAGCTCACTGCAAGCTCCGCCTCCCGGGTTCACGCCATTCTCCTGCCTCATCCTCCCCAGCAGCTGGGACTACAGGCGTCCGCCACCACGCCCGGCTAATTTTTTTGTATTTTTAGTAGACACGGGGTTTCACCGTGTTAGCCAGTATGGTCTCGATCTCCTGACCTCGTGATCCGCCCGCCTCGGCCTCCCAGAGTGCTGCGATTACAGGCGTGAGCCACCCTGCCCGGCCGGCTATTTATTTTTTTAGAGATGGGAGCCTCACTATGTTGCCCAGGCTGGTCTTGAACTCCTGGAGTCAAGTGATCCTCCCGCCTTGGCCTCCCAGAGTGGTGGGATACAGGCACAAGCCACTGTGCCTAGCCATAAACACATTTTTAAAGGTAAAAAAAGGCCGAGCGCGGTGGCTCACCCCTGTAATCCCAGCACTTTGGGAGGCCGTGGCGGGCGGATCATGAGGTCAGGAGATCGAGACATCCTGGCTAACACGGTGAAACCCCATCTCTACTAAAAAATACAAAAAAAAAAAAATTAGCCGGGCGTGATGGCGGGCGCCTGTAGTCCCAGCTACTCGGGAGGCTGAGGCAGGAGAATGGCGTGAACCCGGGAGGCGGAGCTTGCAGTGAGCGGAGATCGCGCCACTGCACTCCAGCCTGGGCGACAGAGCCAGACTCTGTCAAGAAAAAAAGAAAAAAAATGTAAAAAGAGGCTGGGTGGCCGGGCGCAGCGGCTCACGCCTGTAAACCCAGCACTTTGGGAGGCCGAGGCGGGTGGATAACCAGATCAGGAGATGGAGACCATCCTGGCTCACGCGGTGAAACCCCGTCTCTACTAAAAGTACAAAAAATTAGCCAGACATGGTGCCAGGCACTTGTAGTCCCAGCTACTCGGGAGGCTGAGGCAGGACAATGGCGTGAACCCAGGAGGCGGAGCTTGCAGTGAGCCGAGATCGCGCCACTGCACTCCAGCCTGGGCAACAGAGTGAGACTTCGTTTTTTTTTTAAAAAAAGGCTGGGCACAGTGGCTCACACCTGTAATCTGCCAGCACTTTGGGAGGCCGAGGCAGGTAGATCACCTGAGGTCAGGAGTTCGAGACCAGCCTCGCCAAAATGGTGAGACCCTGTGTCTACTAAAAATACAAAAAATTAGCCGGGTGTGTTGGCGTGTACCTGTTATCCCAGCTACTCGGGAGGTGAGGCAGGAGAATCGCTTGAACCCAGAAGGTGGAGGTTGCAGTGAGCCGAGATCATGCCACTGCACTCCAGACTGGGCTACAGAGCGAGACTCCATAAGAAAAAAAGAAAAAAAAGGGGGGCAAAAAGAAACAGATGAAACCAATGTGAATAATTTATTTTAACACAATATACCTAACATATTTTTATTTCAATATCTAACCAGTATAAAAATTTACTTGTTTTGCCCTCTAGAGATAGTAAGCTCCTTAAGTAAACAGAAGTAATACCTGATTAATTAGAATTCCCAACCCTCATCAAGTGTGTGCTTATATAGAAGAAACCCAGTAAATGTTTGTTGATTGAAAGATATTAATACTCTTGCTTGGATGAGAGTGAGGAAAAAGGTATTAGTATTGGCTTTTCACAACGCCTTGTACGGTTTCTTGTTTAAGTTGATCAAAGCAAAAGAAAGACTGCAGGCAATGCTAAATATAACAAGTGATTTACAAATTAATTAGACGTAAATAATCATTTTTCATTAAAAATTAGTTGTATTCTGTCCATTTCCTCAGAATTTTAGACAATGATTTTGAATAATCATATCTCCCTTATAGAGTTATTGAAATTAAATAACTTATTGGGAAAGATTCTTTATAATTATACAAAGGTATATAGGACCATAGTCTCATATCCAGAGTTCTGAAATCCGAAAACTAAAAGGTTTTTCTTTTTTTGCTATTCTTTTTTTTTTTTTTTTTTTTTTTTTTGAGACAGAGTCTCCCTCTGTCGCCCAGGCTGGAGTGCAGTGGCACAATCTCAGCTCACTGCAACGTCCGCCTCCCAGGTTCAAGTGATTCTTCTGCCTCAGCCTCCCGAGTAGCTGGGACTACAGGCGTGTGCCACCACACTGGGCTAATTTTTGTATTTTTAGTAGAGGTGGGGTGTCACCATATTGGCCAGGCTGGTCTCGAACTCCTGACCTCGTGATCCACCCGCCTCAGCCTCCCAAAGTGCTGGGATTACAGGTGCGAGCCACTGCACCTGGCCAAGGTTTTTTATAACTAATTTAACAGCAAAATCTGGCCTAGTTATCGTCTTTATTTTCTTTTTTTAATGTGATTTAAAACTATTCATTTGTTTCACTATAGCTTAATAATTTGTTTGCTTTTCTGCTTCTAAGACCCTGTAGGGGCATTATATAACTTCTGGCATTTGCATAGTACCTTTACAAAATCCAAAAAAATCTGAATTCTAAACACATTTAGTCCTAAAAGTTACAGATAAGGGATTCTGGACTTGCGATTCTAAGTCTTTGTTCGTTTTTATTGCATTTTCTGAGCCAACATAACCATTATTTAAAAACAAGTTGCTATAGTAACTCTACATTACAGACCTCCCCCAAACTCAGCAGTTCAGAGCATGTATTCTCACTCAGGGCTCTGCTTCCTTGTAGGTAGATGTGTGGATCGGTGAGGGCAGTTCTTATTTGTATGCCTTATTCTGGGGCCCAGGCTGAAGGGGCAGTGGCTATCCATGATAAGCTTTTCTCAAGGCACCAGCAGAAGTACAAGAAGTCAAGGCCAACTGCATAAGCATAGTTCAAATGTCTGGTTATGCCACATCTGCTAAGATTGCATTGACCAAAGCAAGTCACATGATCATGCCCAAAGACTTAGGAGTGGGTAGTAGACTGCAACCACCATGCAGCCAAGCAAACTACAGAGCCAAGCCTATAACATCACTGGAGAGAGGTGTATTCCTCCCTTGGCCAGGCTGGGGGAGGGAGTGAATATTGGCTGAATAATAATCTAATCTACCACAGATGGTTAACAGAGGTGGAGTGGGATGGAAGGAGAAAAAAAAAAAATCACCAAATGGGATGTATCACTACCCTTGCTCTTTTTAGCGTCTGCTGCTTTCACAAAGCCTTTTATAGGGCTGGAGAAATGATTTGCTCCTAGTCTCTTAAAAACCAGAGGAGTCTTTTGAGGATGTATTCCTAAAGTTTTTAAATTAGTTTAAAAATTTTTTTTATTAATTTCAATTATAGGCTGAGCACAGTGGCTCACGCCTGTAATCCCAGCTAAGGTGGTGGATCACCTGAGGTCAGGAGTTCGAGACCAGCCTGGCCAACATGCTAAATGAAACCCCCATCTCTACTAAAAATACAAAAATTAGCTGGGCATGGTGGTGGGCGTCTGTAATCCTAGCTACTCAGGAGGCTGAGGCAGGAGAATTGCTTGAACCCAGGAGGTGGAAGTTGCAGTGAGCCATGATCGTGGCATTGCATTCCAGCCTGGGCGACAAGAGTGAAACTACATCTTGGCCGGGTGCCGTGGCTCACGCCTGTAATCCCAGCACTTTGGGAGGCAGAGGCTGGCAGATCACGAGGTCAGGAGATCGAGACCATCCTGGCTAACACAGTGAAACCCCGTCTCTACTAAAAATACAAAAAATTAGCCAGGCGTGGTGGCGGGCACCTGTAGTCCCAGCTACTTGGGAGGCTGAGGCAGGAGAATGGCCTGAACCTGGGAGGCGGAGCTTGCAGTGAGCTGAGATTGTGCCACTGCACTCCAGCCTGGGCGACAGAGGGAGACTCCGTCTCAAAAAAAAAAAAAAGAAAAGAAACTACATCTCAATAATAATAATAATTTCAATTATAGGTTGGAATTTAGAGTTCGGTTACATTTACTATTGGATGTGATCCTTTAAAAACTCAAGTAGAGGCTTTTCCAGCCCATTCATAACATTAGAAGTTGGGCCGCCTGTCCAGGGAGAAGCTTTCAAAGTAACACTGAGGCTGATTAAATACTTTTGTAAAATAAAGAATAAATCACAAGCTCATTGGCACTTGAAACTTAGCATTGCAGTGCAGATGCAGCAGAAAATACTTGTAGCAGTTTTCTCAGTGAAAGAGAAACTAGTCAAGTAGCTTAGAGACATTAAAACAAGCCACAAGCCCTTTGTGCTAGAGATCATGGTTAAAAGTCCCCTGAAGATGTTTTTCCACAGTAGAAATTTTGTTTATATTTATGTCTGAGAGTGAAAAAAGAAAATGGAATCAATAAGTAACCATGTTCTGCAGGAGTTTGAGGTTTTGTTGTTACATTGGGATGTAGTGAGAGAAGAAAACGTATTAATTCTTTTCTGTTGGTACTTTCTTGAATTACATTTTTAATAAACTTATTGTGAGATTCTGAACATTGCTCCTGTGATAATTTCTGAAGTGCTGATGAGTAGAAGGTTTTCTGGTTAGACTTCTGTTCAGCACATCTGAGCTTCGAGATTATTTGTAGTTCTCCTGGGGCTTTTAAAATCTCTTTGTATATAATAGATAAATGCTAGTTTCCCATCAGAGAAGGATTTCTTTTTCCTTTTGTCTGATTGAGCAAGTGTCTTGAGATTAAGAAAATGGATGTCAGTGAATTCAAGTGTTGTGCTCTGTCAGTTTGCAGCAGGTGACCAGAGAGCAAAAACACCAGAGTAGATTCTGTCCCTACTCCCACCTACTCCTCAATTCGGGTCCCATGAAAGATCCTCAGATCTGGGTAACTGTTGTTGTTTTTGTTGTTCACAGGGCTAAGAATGTTCATGGCTAAGAATGTTAAAAAGTCTCCTAGTGTCTTTTGCCACGCTGCCTGAACAGTGGGGTCATTGACCGCCATGCAATCCTCAATTGTTTTCAGCTGATACTGGACCGAAATCAAATCTAGCTTTGCCTGCCCCTTTCTTTGTACCAGTAGCGCTTGTTTGTTCACCAGGCCTGACTGAAGACCTAGCCCTGTTGCCTGCCTCTGCTTCCTACCGAGCCCCCTGTAAAGAGCAGCTCTCCCAGGGAGGCTCACCTTGTAGCATTGTGATCTTTGGAAGCATCAAGGGAGGCACAAGATTTCTCTGGGTGAACTGGAAAAGACTTGGGCTGGGCATCAGAAGACTTGGGTTCTGCAACTGGCATTGTTTACACTCTCTCTGTAACTCTGTGCAGGCAAAATCTTTCACCTTTTCTGAGTTTTTTTTTACATGTCAGTACAGATTCCTTTCCTCATGAGGTTTCTTTAAGACTCAAATGGAAGAATAGATGTGAAAAGAACTTTGAAGATAGTATTGGAAAATGCTAAAGTGACTGCTGTGTTATTGATGATTTTTATGGGATTTGTCTGAGAAAGCTCCAGTGTGACCAGTTTGTACCAGCTTGTATGGTTTCTTGTAATAACCGAACAGATCCTGTTAGCATAGGGTAAAAATGGAAACTACTTCTTTTAAAATGACCAGTGGCTGCAGTGGCTCAGGCCTGTAATCCTGGCTAGTTGGGAGACTGAAGTGGTAGGGTTGCTTGAGGCCAGGCAAGACCAGCCTGGGCGATACAGCAAGACCCTTTCTCTAAATAAAAAACTAGCCACCCATGTAGTCCCACCTGCTTGGGAGGCTGAGGTGGGAGGATCGACTGAGGCCAGGAGTTCAAGGCTGCAGTGAGCTATGATTGCCACTGTACTCCAGCCTGGGTGACAGAGTGAGACCTTGTCTCTTAAAAAAAAAAAAAAAAAAAAAAAAAAAGATTTGCATTATAGCTTATCTTTTTTTTTTTTTTTTTTTTTTTGAGATGGAGTCTCACTCTGTCACCCAGGCAGGAATGCAGTGGCGTAATCTCAGCTGACTGCAACCTCTGCCTCCTGGGTTCAAGCAATTGTCCTGCCTCAGCCTCCCGAGTAGCTGGGACTACAGGTGCACGTCACCATGCCTGGCTAATTTTTGTATTTTTTGGTAGAGATCGGGTTTCACCATGTTGGCCAGGCTGGTCTGGAACTCCTGACCTTGTGATCTGCCCACCTTGGCCTCCCAAAGTGCTGGGATTACAGGCGTGAGCCACTGCGCCCAGCCAGCTTATCCTTTTTTAAAAAAACATAAATACTAGGATATTGAGATTATTGAAAATGCTTTTGGTGCTTCAGTTTTGAATTTATACTTAGAGCAGTTTTTGAAGTTTAAGATCTCATTTACTTCTAAGTAATAGATTTACTAGTAATCAAAATCGCTTCAAAATACCGTAATCCTCATTGCTGTAAACTCCTACGGGGCAGGTTTGGAGTTTTATAAAGAGGCAATATAGTGTACTCTGTGAATTCCAACTCCTCACTTGCCAGATGTGACCTTAAGCAAGTGAACTTCTGTGTGCCACACTGTTTTCATCTGTAAAAGGATAAAGGGAATATCATAAATTAGTTTGTTAAGCCTTAGTTTAATAATGTCTCTAAGTTTTACATATAAGTAGACAGTGTCTTTCTTGTTTAGTGAATAATCATTCTTATTATTTAATAGTATCTCTACTAAATTTATTGTGTAAGATTATACTAATCTTGTTTAGTGCGTGGTAATCACTTCTGCTCATATTTAACCTATAAGCATAATATAGTTTATTTATATACCATTTATTTATTTTATTTTATTTTTTGAGATGCAGTCTTGCTCTGTCACCCAGGCTGCGGTGCAGTGGCGCAATCTTGCTTCACTGCAACCTCCACCTCCCAGGTTCAAGCGATTCTCCTGCCTCAGCCTCCTTAGTAGCTGGGATTACAGGCACGAGCTACCATGCCCAGCTAATTTTTGTATATTTAGTATGGACAGGGCTTCACCATGTTGGCCAGGCTGGTCTCGAACTCCTGGCCTCAAATGATCTGTGTGCCTCAGCCTCCCATAGTGCTGGGATTACAGGCATGAGCCACTGCGTCCGGCCTACTTACCTTTTATTTTTGCTTGCATTACCCTTTCTTTGCCTTGTTTCATTTGGCTAAGACTGTCTTGTTTACTTGCTTTGCTTCTGAGGGATTATATGAGAGTTCTATGGGTTTTTCCATAATGGAGTGTACTTTTATTATTTTATTATTTGTTTTTTTGAGACAGGGTCTCACTCTGTCACTCAGGCTGGAGTGTAGTGATGCAGTCACTGCTCACTGCAGCTTTGACTTTCTTGGCTCCAGTGATCCTTCCACCTCAGCCTCCTGAGTAGCTGGAACCACAGGCACCCACCACCCACACCCAGCCAATTTTTTTTGTATTTTTAGTAGAAACAGGGTTTCACCATGTTGGCCAGGCTAGTCACGAACTCCTGGCCTCAAGTAGTAACACCCATCTCAGCCTCCCACAGTGCTGGGATTACAGGCATGAGCCACCGAGCCCGGCCTCATGCAATTTATTGACTACTTCACTGAAAGTGAACTTGTATGGATACTCAAAAAGTACAGTTTGTATTGAATACATATTGTTTTTGCATCATACTAAAGCTGAACAGTTCTAAACTGAACTGTCATCAGGGACCGTCTGTATTGTGAAATCTTAATTTTGTCCATATTAAAAGACAGGAACAGGGCTGGTTCGTGGTGGCTCACACCTGTAATCCTAGCACTTTGGGAGGCTGAGGTGGGTGGATCACTTGTGGTCAGGAGTTTGAGACCAGCCTGGCCAACATGGTGAAACCCAGTCTCTACTAAAAATACAAAAATTAGCTGGACATGGTGGTGCACACCTGTAATCCCAGTTATTCGGGGGGCTGAGACACGAAAATTACTTAAACCCAGGAGTTAGAGGTTCCAGTGAGCGAGATCGTGCCACTACATTGCAGCCTGGGTGACAGAGCAAGACTGTGTCTCAAAATAAAGACAGGAACAAAGGTATCGATAACTCTTAAGTATAGGTTAAATTCCCACAAAAATCTAGTTTTAAAAAATCTTTTTTTTTTTTTTTTTTTTTAAAAACAGAGTCTCACTCTGTTGCCCAGGCTGAGTACAGTGACGAGATCTTGGCTCACTGCAGCCTCTAATTCCTGGACTCAAGCCATCCCCCCACCTCAGCCTCCTGAGCATTTGGGACTACAGATGCATCCCACCTGCACCCAGCTAATTATTTTTTTGTAGAGATAGTGTTTTCCTATGTTGCCCAGGCTGGAGACTGATCTGCAACTCCTGGCCTTAAGCTCTTTATTTTTTAAGCAAATTTGCACTGTTTTCAATTAATATGAATTTGCATTTCGCTGATCTCATGCTAGCTGACAATGGGCTGAAGGTGAGGGGAGGAGAAAGATGGACATGGTACATAAAAGCATGTATGATAAAGTGGAATGTCACCTTGGTTAAAAATGTGTAATGATTTGAATGATACAAATATAAGTAGTTAAGGGTTATTTTGAACTTGATACCTTTGCTGGAGGAAAAATTACTTTATGCATTTTTGATGAAAAATCATTAGAAGAAAAAAAATGGAATATTTAGAGGAAAGAGTATCCTGATGTTAAAAGTGAAAATGAAATAGGACATTGAGAAAATTTTTTTATGTAAATGTGTATATGGTAATGTATTAATTAGCGTTAGGTATGTACACGGATTTTTGCCTTCTATATTTCTGAAAACCTTCTGTGAAAAGGAAGAGTTGAAATCATAAAGAATTGGCTGATGGAAATTAAGGTAGACAGGCAAATGGGAATGTGGCCCCCCTAGGAGGGTGAACTCTGAGAGACACAGTCATCCCTGTAAATAAGGCTGCGCCAAGATCAAAGGAGAGGTCTGAGGCTGGGAGTCAGGAGTCAGCCATTCTTTTTTTTTTTTTTTTCTGCAACCTCCACCTCCTGGGTTCAAGCTTTTCTCCTGCCTCAGCCTCCTGAGTAGCTGGGATTACAGATGCGCGCCACCACACCCGGCTAATTTTTGTATTTTTAGTAGAGATGGGGTTTCGCCATGTTGGTCAGGCTGGTTTCGAACTCCTGACCTCGTGATCCGCCCGCCTTGGCCTCCCAAAGTGCTGGGATTACAGGCATGAGCCACCGCTCCTGGCTGAGTCTGCGATTTCTTGCCAGCTCTACCCAGTTGTGTCATCTTAAGCAAGTCACTGAACTTCTCTGGATTCCCTTCTCCTTTTGTAAAATAAGCATGTTATCTGTCCGTCCTGCCTTGGGCATTGTGATAAGGATAAGATGACATTATAGAATTTTGCAAAATTAAAAGCGCTAGACAAATGATTTTATGAAAATATAAAGATTAGGTTGAATTTGGTCAGCATAGAAAAAGGAATGTTGAGAACATTCCTTAAGATTACTCAGCTCCCTTTGCTGGAAATCAGAAGTCATTAAGTATCTTTGTGGTTGAAAATGTTTGGTGTCTCAGGCGGTTCTACTTATTGCTAAAGAGGTCTACCTTGAGCTTATAGTAAATTTGTCAGTTAGTTGAAAGTCGTGACAAATTAATACATTCCTGGTTTACAAATTGGTCTTATAAGTATTTGATTGGTTTAAATGAATTTACTAGGATTTAACTAACAATGGATGACCTGGTGAAATCCTATTTCAGACCTAATCTGGGAGCCTGCAAGTGACAACAGCCTTTGCGGTCCTTAGACAGCTTGGCCTGGAGGAGAACACATGAAAGAAAGGTTTGTTTCTGCTTAATGTAATCTATGAAAGTGTTTTTTATAACAGTATAATTGTAGTGCACAAAGTTCTGTTTTTCTTTCCCTTTTCAGAACCTCAAGAGGCTTTGTTTTCTGTGAAACAGTATTTCTATACAGTTGCTCCAATGACAGAGTTACCTGCACCGTTGTCCTACTTCCAGAATGCACAGATGTCTGAGGACAACCACCTGAGCAATACTGTACGTAGCCAGGTACAGTGTCAGTCTCTGAAACTGCCTTTGCCAGACTGGATTCACTTATCATCTCCCCTCACCTCTGAGAAATGCTGAGGGGGCTAGGCAGGCTTTCTCTACTTTACCACATTTATAATATATTTGGTGAACTTCAGCTGATTGCTGGAGGACACAGGGCTGTTTAACACATAGGTGTTGATACAGTTCCTACCTAATTCACATATCACCACCTCAGTTGAAGCCTTCTCCAGCTTCCCAAGGTGTGCAGCGCCTCATAGTTCATGTTGTTTATTATTTTACCTATCTTGCTCTTATTCTTCTACGGCTGAGTCCATTTTATTTACTGTATTCATTACCTAACAGTTCCTTTTAGTGCTCAGTAAATATTCATTATGATTGTACAATGCAAGGATAAGTGTAGAAGTTCTAAGGGTTCAAAGGAGGGATTCAGGAAAAGAACGTAATCTGTGCTGTCGGACAAAGAGATTCCTCACCAGCTACATACACAGACATGAAATTTGACTGCAACTCTACTAGCTAATCATCATAAAGTGAGAGCAGAGGCCAGGCACGGTGGCTCATGCCTGTAATCCCAGCACTTTGGGAGGCTGAGGCGGGCAGATCACCTGAGGTTAGGAGTTCAATACCAGCTTGGCCAACATGGAGAAACCCCATCTCTACTAACAATACAAAAATTAGCCGGGCTTGGTGGCAGGTGCCTGTAATCCCAGCTACTCAGGAGGCTGAGCCAGGAGAATCGCTGGAACCCAGGAGGTGGAGGTTACAGTGAGCTGACGTCGCGCCATTGCACTCCAGCCTGGGCGACGAGCGAAACTCCATCTCAAAAATAAATAAATAAACAATAAATAAATAGAGAAAAAGAAAGAAAAGAAAAGAGAGAGAGCATGGATGTCCTGTGAGACAGTTGGAGTATCTATAGGATTTTTAGAGGTGGACCCAGAATAGAGGAAAACACAAGGCCAACTATAAGCTATCCAGTTGCACTAGGTGTGGGGTCAGATTTTCCTCTGTTAGGACCAGAGAGCAGAGCTAGGAACAGTGGTGGAAGTTACCAGGCAATAAGGTCTGGATCAATAAAAAGAACTTTCTCATAGCCTGGCATGGTGGTGCATGCTTGTAGTCCCAGCTACTCAGGAACTCAGGAGGCTGAGGTACGAGGATTGCTTGTCTAAGAGTTTGAGTCCAGCATGGGCAACATAGAGAGGTTCTGTGTTTTTTTTTTTTTAATTTTCCCACAGTTATGGTACATCTGGGCTGCCTTGTAGGCTTGTGTGTACATTTCACTACAAACAGTCACAAAAGGCTGAAAGGCCACTCCAGCAAGATCTGTAGAGGATTAGTCCGTGAATTCCGCAGTTGAACTAGAGCACTGAATGGCGTGGAACTTCCTTTTACACTCTGAAGATTTAGGATTCTTCACTTTTCCCATCAGTAAAATTAGGTAATTTACTAGATAATTTGAAAATTCTTTCCCAGCTGGGAAGTTTTGATGTGCCCAGAAGCTAGGATGGGCAGTTGTCCAGGTTTGTTTAAAACTAGAGGTTCTAGAACACAGGACTTTCAGTTTTAAAATTGGGACAGTCCTGAGCAGTAGGATCAAGTCAGTTGTCTACCAGAGTATAATCAAATTGAAATAATTTTGGATCTGACTAACCAAGTCTTATTCAATTAGTTGACATTGTTGTTTAACTTCGAGTACTATTACAGTTCTATATTGTTATAGTTCAAATAGAAGATAACATCTAAAGCATTTCTCATTCCAAAGGTTAAATCTTGCCTTTAGCTTCATTTCTTCAACTCTAAGCAAATACTGTGACGAGCTGCTATAGCCTGGAAAATAGTTTTCCTTTTGTGGGCTGCTGTGCATAATCTCATTCATAGTAAAGGGATTTGAAGTTTGATGACAGAATAGTCAGAGAGCTGAAGTTGTGTTTGTTTTTTTAGCCCAAATATTTATTTCTCAAGTTTTTGTTGTGAAATGTTTCTAGCACATACAGAAAGTATGGCACATAATGTAATAGGCACCCATGTACCTATCACCCAGCTTTATTAAACCTTAACATCTTATTTGCTGTTTTTTTGATAAGCTTTTTTTGCTTCTATTGCTTATTGATCCTACACTAAATGAAATCCTAACTAAACAAAACAAGATTTTGCATTTAATTTGAAAAGAGACTAGTTATATGACAAAAAATTGCAGATAAAATTGAAGTGCTCCTCCCCCATTCTTTTTCCTCTTTTCTCAGGATAGTTACTGTCCTGAATTGGGTATTTACCATGTTTAATAAAATTGAGTATTAGGCTTACTATAATATTTATGTACATAAATCGTATCGCATTATGTAATACACTTGGCATGTTTTAAAACTTTAGGCTGGGTGTGGTGGCTCACGCCTGTAATCCCAGCAATTTGGGAGGCCGAGGCTGGTGGATCACAAGGTCAGGAGTTCAAGACCAGCCTGGCCAACATGGTGAAACCCTGTCTCTACTAAAAAAAAATGCAAAATTTAGCCAGGCGTGATGGCAGGCACCTGTAATCCCAGCTACTCCAGAAACTGAGGCAGAGAATTGCTTGAACTCTGGAGGTGGAGGTTGCAGTGAGCCAAGATTGCACCACTGCACTCCAGCTTGGGCAACAGAGTAAGACTCTGTCTCAAAAAAAAAAAAAAAAAAAAAAAAGCCAGGTGCGGTGGCTCACGCCTGTAATCCCAACACTTTGGGAGGCCGAGGAGGGCGGATCACGAGGTCAAGAGACAGACCATCCTGGTCAACATGGTGAAACCCCGTCTCTACTAAAAAAATACAAAAATTAGCTGGGCGTGGTGACACGCGCCTGTAGTCCCAGCTACTTGGGAGGCTGAGGCAGGAGAATGGCATGAACCTGGGAGGCGGAGCTTGCAGTGAGCCGAGATTGCACCACTGCACTCCAGCCTGGGCGACAGAGTGAGACTCCATCTAAAAAAAAAAACAAAAAAAAACTTTATGTGGTTTATGTCTGAAAGTTGAAGAGAATTTCCACATATATGTTAGTATATGTTGCAAAAGAGACATTCCTATGTAGAATTTTGGGCATTCATGTATATGTAGATGCATGTAGCTCTAGCATTTGTTTTCTCTTGTGAATATATAAAAATAATTCTGTTTACAAACATTTGGTAGGTTCCAGTTTTTCACAATAACTGACAGTGCTGCAGTGACATACTAATTCATTAGTCTGTGTGCACTTGTGTGAGTTTCTCAAAGATAGTTGCTGTGATTGGATATATGGATCTTAGAACTATTTTAGAGATTGCTAGGATTCTTCCAAAGTGTATATTGCAGGCCAGGCATGGTGGTTCACGGCTGTATTACATCTATCTCAGAAAAATAAGAGAAGAAAAGCATGGGTGATCTTGGTGATTTCCCCCTTTCATTTTCTAAATGTTCTATAATACAGTTATTTAATAATTTAAAAAGCTATTTTGAAAAAGTAATCTCACGCTGTCACCAAAGCTGGAGTGCAGTGGTGCAATCTAAACTCACTGCAACCTCGACCTCCTTGAGACCAGGGTGGTCTCAAGTGATCCTGCCACCTCAGCCTCCCAAGTAGCTGGGACCACAGGCTCATGCCACCACACCTGGCTAATTTCTTGTATTTTTGGCAGAAATGAGGTTTCACCGTGTTGCACAGTCTGGTCCTGAACTCCTGAGCTCAAGTGATCCACATGTCTTGGCCTCCCAAAGTGCTGGGATTACAGGTGTGAGCTACTGCGCCCAACCTAAAATATTTTATATATATATATATATTTTTTTTTTTTTTTTTTTTTTTTTTTTTTTTTTTGAGACGGAGTCTCGCTCTGTTGCCCAGGCTGGAGTGCAGTGGCACGATCTCGGCTCACTGCAAGTTCTGCATCCCGGGTTCACGCCATTCTCCTGCCTCAGCCTCCCAAGTAGCTGGGACTACAGGCGCCCGCCACCATGCCTGGCTAATTTTTTGTATTTTTCATAGAGGCGGGGTTTCACCGTGTTAGCCAGGATGGTCTCGGATCTCCTGACCTCGTGATTCGCCCGTCTCGGCCTCCCAAAGTTTTTTTATATTTTTTAATGTGAGGAAAGGTCACAAAAGAATAGTATGCTACCTGAGGAATATCTCTGGAAAGGGATCAAGCATTCGAGGTTTTCTGTGATGACTGACTAAAGTCATGGAGTTAGAACAGCTGATACAAAAGAAACCAAAAAAGGCCAGGCATGGTGGCTCACACATGTAATCCCAGCACTTTGGGAGGCCGAGGCAGGTGGTCAGGAGTTTGAGACCAGCCTGGCCAACATGGTGAAACCCCATTTCTACTAAGAAAAAAAAAAAAAAAAAGTCAATGGGTGTGGTGGCATGTACCTGTAGTCCCAGCTACTCAGGAGACTGAAGCACGAGAATTGCTTGAACCCAGGACTCAGAGGTTGCAGTGAGCTGAGATTGTGCCACTGCACCCCAGTGCAGTGTGACAGAGTGAGGCTGTCTCAAAAAAAGAAAAAAAAAACCCACAAAAGCTCGGTAGCATGAGATCTTTGAGAGCATTCTTATGTTCTTATTGGTAATTGGAGTTTATATTATGCCCTTGTCATCAATAATAGCTTCAGTTATGTTTCTTAGTCTCCATTTGAAAAAAGAAATATTCGCTGGGCATGGTGGCTCACGCCTGTAATCCCAGCACTTTGGGAGGCCAAGGTGGGTGGATTACTTGAGGCCAGGAGTTCCAGACCAGCCTGGCCATCACGGTGAAACCCTGTCTCTATTAAAAATACAAAAATTAGCCAGGTGTGGTGGTGCGCCCTTGTAATCCCAGCTACCTGGGAGGCTGAAGCAAGAGGATTGGTTTCAAGGTTCACCTGGGAGGTCAAAGCTGCATTCAGCCAAGATCACACCATTGTACTCCAGCCTAGGTGACAAAGTGATACCCTGTCTCAAATAAATACATAGACAAAAAGCAAACCTATGAGCTATTTAAAGGACCTTGAGGAGAAAAAAAATAAATGAAATGGGTGATCTAAATTTAAATAGAATCTGCAGCTCTGGTTAGCCTTTGACAGTGTTGTTGTATCATTATAGTTATGAATTTGTTTTCTCAGTTGTGTTAAAGTGGAGTAAGGCAAAAAAGAACTTGAAATCTCAACGACCTCCAGAGAAACATGCTAGCTTTTGCATGAGTAAAATCTCTTAGGCACAAATATTAATAATATGTTAAGAAACTTTAGGCTTAAGCCTAACATAACAGCCCCATAAGTGTTCAGTATTATCTCTAACCAGTTATGTCAACTGTTTGTGGAAATGACAGCCTTTCTTGGCATTAGAGGAATGGTTAAACCTCTGACTCCAGGGAATCACAAAGCTTGGTCAGATGCTGAATGGAATTATGTGTGTTGTTGGAAGCATGTTCCCTATGATTAATAAATGTTTTCAAGTTTTCCACTTAACTTGCCAGTTCTTTGGTTAAGCCACTCTTCTAGTCCTGTCCTACAGAGCAGGCTTAGAGCCCCACATTTGTCATTGTAGAAATTCAAACAATATCCATTAAGTCATTTTTTTTTTTTTTGCCCATTAAGTCTTAAAGGATTAATACATTTTCTTTCCTTTTTTTTTTTTTTTTGAAACGGAGCCTCCCTCTGTCGCCCAGGCTGGAGTTCAGTTGTGCGATCTCGGCTCACTGCAGCCTCTGCCTCCCAGGTTCAAGCGATTCTCCTGCCTTAGTCTCCCGAGTAGTTGGGATTAACAGGGTTGTGCCACCACACCTGGCTAATTTTAGTATTTTAGATAGAGATGGGGTTTCACCATGTTGGTCAGGCTGGTCTCGAACTCCTGACCTCAAGTGATCTGACCACCTAGGCCTCTCAAAGTGTTGGGATTACAGGCATGAACCACCGTGCCTGCCAATACATTTTCTTACAAATATTAATTATTGAAAAAATGTATTTTAAGTAAATATTCAGACTATAAATATATCAGCATAATTGAATACATTATAACCACGTAGGCATGTTAACTGCTTACATGCGTGCATGAAATATTAAGGGAAAAGGGCAGAATATAATATTTGTAAACACAACTATGTATACCTGTGTGTATATATTGAAAAACGTTAGCATTTGGGGTGTCGTAAAAATAAGTTTCTGTTTTCTTTATAAAATTACCTAAATTCATATTCAACTACACACAATTATAAACTTAATTGCAGAGCTAGGTGTGGTGGCTCATGTCTGTATTCCTAGTACTTTGGGAGGCTGAGGCAGGAGGATCCCTTGAGGCCAGGAGTTTGAGACTAGCTTGGGTAACATAGCACGATCTTGTCTCTACAAAAAAAAAAGTGAAAATTAGTGGGGTGTGGTAGTGTGCTTCTATGGTCCCAGCTACTTGGGAAGCTGAGGCAGGAGGATTGCTTGAGACTAGGAGGTCGAGGCTGCAGTGAGCTGTAATCATGCCACTGCACTTCAACCTGGGCAGCAAAGTGAGACCCTGCCTCAAAAAAAGAAAAAAATGTGTGGCAAAAACTGCCATGAACAAAGTCCAAAACAAACTAGGACAAAGGCTTGAAATATATGACAGATATATCCCAATATACATAGAATTCTTATGAAATTAAAAGGAACATGAACAACTTAACTCAGTAGCAAAGGTTACAAGCAATATTTATGGAGTAAGAAATAGAAATGGCAATAAATATATGAAAAGCCTAGTTGATCAGCCTTACTAATAGGGATAAAAATTAAAACTTCACTTCTTACCTATCAGTGAGTTAAAATTGATACACTGCTGCTGAGGTTGTAGGGAAATAGGCTTTCTTGTATGCTGTGTTCTTTGGAGTTAAGTTAGTATTTATTTGGAGGCAAGCTCTTAATTGAATCTACAGATACACATGCCTTTTGGAAATAATTTAGCAATTAAATCTAACCTAATCTGATCTCACCTAGCATTTCACTTCTGAAAGTTTATCCTATAAAAATATTACCATAGAAGTGCCAAGAATTTTTATTGAAGTTTTATTTATAACAGTGAGAATGTGGCAGTAATCTCAATCTTTATCATTAATTGCTTATGGTTTACCCAGTTAGTAGTGTAAAGGTACTAGTTAACAGTAGGGTCTCTTGACTAAACAGTTGGACTTTGAATCTCCATTCTAGAACTTCTTAGCATTATGATCTTTGGCAAATTAACTGGCCTCGCTAAACTTCAGTTTCTTTATCTGTTAAATGAAGTTTATAGCAATTAACTTAGAGTTTTATTTAAATTAAATGAGATAAACTGAATGATTAGTACACTACCTAGCACATACTTGTTCAATAAATATTAACATTTCTTATCAAAATTGCCATATTTAAGAATGAGGTATATTTATATGTCTAGCATAGAATCAAATATATATTATCATTATTATTTTTTTTTTGAGACAGGGTCTCCTTCTATCACCCAGGCTGGAGTATAGTGGTGTGATCATAGCTCAGTGCAGCCTGTAAGTCCTGGGCTCAAGTGATTCTCCCATCTCAGCCTTGTGAATAGCTGGGAGTACAGGTGTGTGCCACCATGCCTGGCTAATTTTTTTTGCTGTTAGTTTCACTTTTTTTGTAGAGCTGGGGTCTCGTTATGTTGCCCAGGCCGGTCTTGAACTCCTGGGCTCAAGCGATTCTCCCGTCTCGGCCTCCTGAAGCATACAGATTTTTTAGGGCAGTGAATCTATTCTGTATGATACTGTAATCATGGAAACCTGTCATTATCTGTTTATACAAACCCATAGACTGTATAACACCAAAAAGTGAACCCTAAGGTAAACTGTGGACTGTCAATGTAGGTTCATCTGTTGTAACGGTTTACCACAGTGGTGCAGGATGTTGATAGAGGCTGTTGGAGGGGTTATGTGGGAACTCTGTGTACTTTCTGCTCAGTTTTGCTGTGGATCTAAGTTTGCATTTAAAAATATTTTATGGCTTGGTGGCTCATACTTGTAATCCTAGCACTTTGGAAGGCTGAGGCGGGTGGATCACTTGAGTTCAGGAGTTTGAGACCAGCCTGGGCAACATGGTGAAACCCCATCTCTATGAAATAAAAAAAAAAGTAAATAATACTAATAGTAATTAACTGGGTGTGGTGGCATGTGCCTATAGTCCCAGGTACTTGGGAGGCTGAGGTCGGAGGATGACTTGAGCCTGTGAAGTGGAAGTTGCAGTGAGCAGTGATCATGCCACTGCACTCCAGCCTGGGCAACACAGCCAGACTCGGTCTCAAAAAATAATAATAATAAAATAAATAATATAAATAAAAATAATATTTTGAAAGAAAAGAGCTATCAAGCCACAAATGCAAAAGGCTTCAAGTTCCTATCTTTTAGAAATACATACTAAAATATTTATGAAGGAAATGATATATCTAAGATTTGCCTCAAAATAATACTGGAGTGGCAAAGTGAGCGGGGGAGTAGATGAAACAAGATTAGCATGAGTTCATAATTATTGAAGTTGAATAAATTGCACATGGGCTTCATTGTACATTTCTGACAGTATTTGTTTGAACTTTTTCCATAATAAAAAGTTTTGTTTGTTTTTTTTTTTGAGATGGAGTCTTGCTCTGTCACCCAGGCTGGAGTGCAGTGGCATGATCTCGGCTCACTGCAAGCTCCGCCTCCCAGGTTCACGCCATTCTCCTGCCTCAGCCTCCAGAGTAGCTGCGACTACAGGCGTCCGCCACCATGCCCAGCTAATTTTTTGTAATTTTAGTAGAGATGGGGTTTCACTGTGTTAGCCAGGATGATCTCGATCTCCTGACCTTGTGATCCGCCCGCCTGGGACTCCCAAAGTGCTGGGATTACAGGCATGAGCCACCACGCCTGGCCTTTTTTTTAAAATGGTCTTACAGGTAATACCATGCATGCTTAAGTCATCATTCTCATATTTAGCTACCAAGATTTTTCCTTTCGGAAATCCCTCAGTATTCTAGTACCACTTTCCTCTCATTTGACACTTTTCAAAGCACCTACACACTCCCTTGAGAAAGATACCTTTTTTTTTTTTTGCGAGGGAGTTTCACTCTTTTGTTGCCCAGGCTGGAGTGCAGTGGCATGATCTTGGCTCACTGCAACGTCTGCCTCCTGGGTTCAAGCGATTCTCCTGCCTCAGCCTCCTGAGTAGCTGGGATTACAGGCACGCACCACCACACCCAGCTAATTTTTTTGTATACTTTTTTTTTTTTAAGTACAGATGGGGTTTCACCGTGTTGGCCAGGCTGGGCTCAAACTTCTGACTTCAGATGATCCGCCTGCCTCGATCTCCCAAAGTGCTGGGATTACAGGCGTGAGTCACCACGCCCAGCCCAAGAAAGATACATTTTTAAAAACAGCTTTATTGTGGTATAATTGACGTAAAATGTACATACTTAAAGTATACAGTGTGATGTTTTGATATATATGTATACTCTTGAAACCACCACCACAGTTAAAATAATGAAAATGTCCATTACCTCCAGAAGTTTCTTCATGTTTTGTTGTAATCTCTCCTTCTCCTCCCTGATTCCTCCCCATCCCCAGGCAACCATGTTTTGTCACCGCGCGCAGCCATTTACTATTATGATACTATTTTATATAAATAGTATCATACAGGCCGGGCACGGTGGCTCATGCCTGTAATCCCAGCACTTTGGGAGGTCGAGGTGGGCGATGACTTGAGGCCACCTGGCCAACATGAAACCCCTTCTCTATTAAAAATGCAAAAATTAGCCAGGGGTGGTGGCGTGCACCTGTAATCTCAGCTCCTCAGGAGGCTGAGACATGAGGATTGCTTGAACCCAGGAGGCAGAGGTTGCAGTGAGCTGAGATTGTGCCACTGCACTCCAGCCTGGGCAACAGAGTGAGTCTCTGTCTAAAAAAAAAACAAAACATACAGACTCTTGTCTGGCTTCTTTCTTTCAGCATAATTATTTTGAAATTCGTCCATGTTATGTGGTTCCTTTTTATTGCTGAGTTGTATACCACAGTTTTTGATCTATTTACTTGTTGGTAGATATTTGGATTTTCAGTTCTGAAGCATTACAGATAGTGGCTGTTACGGATATTCATGTACAGATCTTTCTTTGTATGGGCATATGCTTTAATTTATCTTGGGCAAATACCTAGGAGTAGAATATGATCCAATATGGTAGGTGTATATTTAACTTTTTTTTCTATCTATCTATCTATCTATCTATCTATCTATCTATCTATCTATCTATCTATTTTTAAGACGGAGTTTTGCTCCATCTGGAGCAAAGGCTGGAGTGCAGTGGCATGATCTTGGCTCACTGCAACCTCTGCCTCCTGGGTTCAAGTGATTCTCCTGTCCCAGCCTCCCCAGTAGCTGGGATTACAGGCGCCTGCCACCACACCCAGCTAATTTTTGTATTTGTAGTAGAGGCTAGGTTTCTTCATGTTGGCCAGGCTGGTCTTGAACTACTGATCTCAAGTGATCTGCCTCGGCCCCCCAAAGTGTTGGGATTACAGGCGTGAGCCATCACACCTGGCCAGTTTTTATTTATATTTTTTATAGAAGATGGAGTCTTCCTATGTTTCACAGGCTGATCTTGAACTCCAGGCCTCAAGTGATCCTCCCGCCTTGGCTTCCCAAAGTGCTGGGATTATAGGCATGAGCCTCTATGCCCAGCCTTATATTTAACTTTTTAAGGTACTACCAAAGAACTTTCCAAACTGGTTGTATAATTTTACATTTCTACCAGCAGTATGAGTTCCAGTTCCTCCACATCCTGTCAGTACTTGATACTGTCAGTCTTTTAAATTTTTTAGCTCTTATAAAAAGGTATATAGTTACATCTCATTTTGGTTTTAATTTACATTTCTCTATTGAGTAATGATGTTGAGTTTCTTTTCATGTGCTTGTCATCCTGATATCTTTGGTGACTTGTCTGTTCAAATCTCTTGCCCATTTAAAAATTGCTTTCTTAATGGATTTTAAGAATTATTTACATAGTCTGGATACAAGTCCTCTGTAATATATATAATTTGCAAGTGTTTTCTCCCAGACTGTGGCTTTTCTTTTTATTAACAGTGCTTTTTGAAGGGCAGATTTTTTTTTTTTTTTTTAAAGAGACAGAGTCTTGCCCTGTCACCCAGGCTGGAGTATAGTGGTGTGATTATAGCTCACTGCAGCCTCAAACTCCTGAGCTCAAAGAATTCTTCTGCCTCATTCTTCCAAACAGCTAGGACTACAGATGTGTGCCACTGCACCCAGCTAATTCCGTTTGTATTTCATTGATTGTGTTTTTGGTGTCACATCTTAAGAAACTTTGGCCTACTTCAAGTTCTCAGGAGTTTTTTCCTGCATTTTCTTCTGGAAGCTTTATAGTTTCATGTTTTACATTAGGTCTGTGATCCTTTTGAAGTTGATTGTTATACGTGGTCCAAGGTATGGATCAAAGTTCATTTTTCTGCATATGGATATTCAATTGTTTCAGCACTGTTTTTTAAAAAAGACTATTTTCTCCACTGAAGTGCCTTTGTACCTTTGCAAAAATCAGTTGTCCATATATGTGTCAATCTGTTCCATCAGTCATGGGTCAAAGGCTGTTCTCATGGGGAGGCTTTTGAATTTGAAAAACTGAAACTCTATACTCATTGGACAACTTTATACCCATTGAACAACTCCCCATTTTCCATTTCTCTCAGCCCGTGGCAATATGCTTTCTGTTTCTATAACATGGACTACTTGAGTTTTTTTCTTTTTTTTGATGACAAGATCTCACTCCGTTGCCCAGGCTAGAGTGCAGTGGCATGATCTTGGCTCATGGCAGCCTTCACCTCCTGGGCTCAAGCTGTCTTCCCACCTCAGCCTCCTGAGTAACTGGAACTACAGGTGCACTCTATCATGCCTCGCTAATTTTTTAATTTTTTTGTAGAGACGAGTTCTCGCCATATTGGCCAGGCTGATCTCAAACTCCTGGGCTCAAGTAATCCTCCCACTTTGGCCTCCCAAAATACAGAGATTATGGGTGTGAGCCATCATGCCCAGCTGGCTAGATATTTCATGTAAGTGGAATCATACATTATTTCTCTTTTAGTGACTTGCTTATTTTGCTTAGCATAATGTCCTCAAGGTTCATCTATATTGTAGCATGTGACAAGATTTCCTTTTTAAGGGCTGAATAATATTCTGTGTTATGTATATACCACATATCTGTGAGTAGACATTTGGGTTACTTCCACTTCGTGGCTATACTGAATAATGCTATGGTGAAAGTGGCTATGCACATATCTGTTTGAGGTCTTGTTTGTAATTCAGTTCGTTTTTATATATACTCATTGGTATTTATATAAATGGGATTGCTGGGTCATATGGTAGTTTAATTTTTTGAGGAACCTCCATATTGTTTTCCATGGTGGCTGCACCATTTTACATTCCCACCAACAATGCATAGTGGTTCCAATTTCTTCACAACTTTACCACCGCTTGTTACTTTCTGTTTTTTGGTAGTGGCCATCCTAACGGGTGTAGTTTTTTTTTGCATTTTTCTAATGATTAGTGATGTTGAGCATCTTTTCTTTTTTCCCCCCATATTACACAGATGTAGAGCATCTTTTCATGTGCTTGTTGGCTATTTGTATATCTTCTTTGAAGAAATATCTGTTCAAGTCCTTTGCCCATCTAAAAAAATCTGATGATTTGTTTTTTTCCAATTGTTTAATTGTAGGACTTTTTTTTTTTTTTTTTTTTTTGAGATGGAGTCTCGCTCTGTCGCCCATCCTGGAATGCAGTGGCGCGATCTTGGCTCACTGCAAGCTCCACCTGCCGGGTTCATGCTATTGTAGGACTTTTTAATGTATTCTGGATATTAATCTCTTACCAGATATATGATTTGCTTTTTTTTTTTTTTTTTTTCGATACAAGGTTTTACTGTGTCACCCAGGCTGGAGTAAAGTAGTGATGTAATCTGGGCTCACTGCAACTTCCGCCTCCCAGGCTCAAGCAGTCCTTCCACCTCAGCCTCCTGAGTAGCTGGAACTATAGGCACTCGCCACCATACCCACCTAATTTTTGTATTTTTTGTAGAGACGGAGTTTCACCATGTTGCCCAGGCTGGCCTTGAACTCCCAGGCTCAAGCAATCCACCTGCCTTAGCCTCCCAAACTGCTGGGGTTGTAGATGTGAGCTACCACACCCAGCCTGATTTGCAGATATTTTCTCCAGTTCTGTAGGTTGCCTTTTCACTCTGATGACTGCTTCCTGTGGTGTGTAGAAATTTGGTGTAGGCCCATTTGTCTATTTTTGTTTTTGTTCTTTAATTTCTCTTAGCAATATTTTGTAAGTTTCATTGTACAGGATATTTGGGGATCTGTAAGACAACCCTCAGGTTCAGTAATTTGCTAGAAAGACTCAACTCAGAGAATGTTTTATACTCAAATTATAGTTTAGTACATTGAAATGATATGGATTAAATTTAGCAACAGAAAAAGACACATAGGGCAGGGTCCAGGAGACACCCCAGGCTCAAGCTGTCAATAGTCCTCTCCCAGTGGAGTTGTGCACACAGTGCTTAATTTTTCCAGCAACAGTGTATGACAACACACGTGGAATATTGGCAACCAGGGAAGCTGGCTGAGCCTTGGTGTCCGGGTCACACATGGCTGACCTCAGTTCTCTGGCCCCTTCAGAGGCCAAGCTGATACTGTGTGACACAAGGCCCTCACCGTAGATCACATTATTAGCGGAAACTTGTTGGCATGACCCAATGCCTCATGTAAACAGCGCAGTGGCTGTTTATAGGCCGGGCGCAGTGGCTCACGCCTGTAATCCCAGCACTTTGGGAGGCTGAGGCGGGCGGATCACCTGAGGTCAGGAGTTTGAGACCAGCCTGGCTAACATGGCGAAACCCCGTTTCCACTAAAAAAAAAAAAAAAAAAAAAAAATAGAAAAAGAAACCAAACCAGGTGTGGTGATAAGTGCCTGTAATCCCAGCTACTCGGGAGACTGAGGCAGGAGAATCACTCTAACCTGGGAGGCCAAGGTTGCAGTGAGCCAAGATTGCGCCACTGCACTCCAGCCTGGGCAACAGGAGCAAAACTCCATCTCAAAAAAAAAAAAAAGTTAAATAGAAAAAGGACATAAATGAAAAAGCACTCAACCATCCTGATAATAAGAGAAATAGATATTAAATTTATGCCAAGATTCCATATTTCTCCCATCAGATTGGTAAAAATCTAAGCACTTGCTAACATAAGGTGTTAGCAACAGTGTGGTAAAGTAGGCAATCTCTTGCATTGCTGATTCTCTAAATTGGTGCAATCCACAGGGAGGGCAATTTGGCATGCTCTCGTTCTCTCTCTCGCTCGCTCGCGCGCTCTCTCTCTCTCTCTCCATGAGAAGGAGAGAGAGAGAGAGAGAGAGCACGCGAACAAGCGATTGAGTGAGAGAGAGAGCACGTATCTGCAGTCTCAGCTGCTCAGGAGGCTGAGGTGGGAGGATTGCTTGAGCCTAGGAGGTCAACGCTGTGGTAAGCTGTTGACTATGCCACTGCACTGCAGCCTAGTGACAGAGAATCTGTCTCAAAGATAAGAAGAATGAGGATATTCTTTATGTACTGATGTGTAGAAAAATCTCTAAGATACATAGTTAAGTGGAGAAAACAAAATGCTGCATGGTGCATTTACTGTACTACCATTTGTGTGAAAAGGGGGAGTAAGAGTATGTGTTTGTATTTGCTTGCATATGTAGAAAGAAACTTTGAAAGGATTCACCAAATAACAGTAGTAAGCAGGGGGATTAGGAAACTAGGTATATATTAAGAGGGAGCTTTTGTACTCTATACCTTTTAATACTTTCTTTGAGACCATGTGAATGTTTTACCTATGTATTTATTTATTTTTAATTTTTGCTTTGCCTGCTTTTAAACAAATAAATTGTACTTTTTTTGAAGAGCTCTATTTTTATTTCCTTTCGATTATCATCTGTAGATTCTTATGTCACATTTTACTTTAACAGCACATTTAGACAGAATACAGTCTTTAAATGGAAGCCGACAATTGATTTCCCTGGAAAATTTTTGAAGTACAATAACATTTGATTGATTGAACTTTATTTAGTAAGAATTCTTAGCAAAATTCCCTCCCAGGCACACCTACATGGTGCTTCATTTTCAGTGAACTACAAATCTCTGAAACCCAAAACTGCAATCTAAAAGTACAAGATGGCTGGACTCGATGGCTCATGCCTGTAATCCCAGCACTTCGGGAGGCCAAGGCAGGAGGATTGCTTGAGCCCAGAAGTTCAAGACCAGCTTGGGCAACATGGTGAAACTTTGTCTCTACAAAAAATTAGCCGAGCTTCACAAACAATCTTACAGGAGTCATTCATTAATTAACTCAACAAATATTTATAGAGTACAGGAGACACTAGAGATCCAGCAAAGGTCAATAACATGTGCTGTCTTAGAGAAAACTTATATTCTAAGAATAGTCAAGTGACAAACAGGAGCTACATCAAATAATCACAAGTACACTTCAGAGAATTAAAACCAGATCAACGTAGAGAAAGGCTTCCTTACATTCGATAGTCAGGAAATTCTCTCTCTACCAGGAGGGAACTGAGTGACAAGGAACAGTCAGGTGGGAGAAGGGCATTCCAGATGAACCAGCCCTGAGCGGGGAACTAGAAGGCCAGTTTGAGAAAAGGAATGGAGAGAGGAGGAACAGTTTGTGGTCAGAGCAAGGACCAAACCATTTTAGACTTCATGAGCCTAAGAAGTTTTGATTTTGTTATGAGCATGACAAGAAGCCATTGTAATCGAGTTTTAAACAAAGGAATGACATGATCTCATTTTGTTTAAAAAAAAAAAATCATCCTGGCTGTAGTGTGGAGAATGGACTAGGGGAGCATAAAAGCAGAAAGACCAATTGGAAGCCTATTAACAGTAATCCAAATGATAGATAATAGTGGTTTGAACCACAAAGATTATGGACATAGAAAGAAGCAGATAGATCCAGGAGATGTTTTGGAGGTATTCTGGCAGAATTTGCTGGCTGACTAGACAGAGGTACTAAGGAAAAGAATCAAGAATAATTCCTAGATTCGGGACTTCCTAGAAACTGGGAGAATGGTGCTGCTGTTTATTGAGATAAATGGAGAAGACAGAGGAGAAGCTTAGAATAGAGTTCTAGGAGAGGTCAGAGATGGAGATCAACATTTGGGAGACAGAATTTTCTAATTCCATAGTGCCGACGATTTTCTATTGATAGACTAAAAATGTCTGGAATTTTATATGCAGTTTCATCTGGACAATACCCTAAGAGGAGATCAGTTATACCTTGGCACCTGCTAATAGCCATAGGAATATGTATATGTAGAATAAATGGTAAAACTACTGAATGCTTAATATGTGCCAGACACCGTGAGATACGTCTTTGAAGTACTATCCCAGTAGAATTTACAACAACCCTATCAGGAGATACTTTTTTTATCACCATTTTACAGATGAAGACACTGAAGTTCAAAGAGGTTAAATAACTCGCCCCAAATCACACTATATAGAAGAGAAATCTAAATCCTGGTAGTCTGACCCCAGAACTTGGGCTAATTACCACTATATAATACAGTGTCACTGGGGTAAACCCAAGATATGATAACATAAGTTAGAGACTTTTAAATTCCAAATTTCACACACTATGATTTCACCCATAAAATGTAGTGATTCAGCCATAGTCTTCTGATTAGTTGGAGTACCCTATGCAATACTTTAGGAACTTGCTTCTTTTATTTTCATATATATATATGTTCATTCATAAATTAAATCTGGACAGCCAGTGAATCTGCCATTTTTGTCTCTAACCAACACTTCTGTCACAAAATTGTACTTTTTTTTGTTTTTTTTTGAGACGGAGTCTCATTCTGTCACCCAGGTTGGAGTACAGTGGCACGATCTTGGCTCACTGCAACCTCTGCTTCCCGGGTTCAAACGATTCGCCTGCCTCAGCCTCCCAAGTAGCTGAGATTACAGGTGCCCGCCACCACACTGGCTAATTTTTGTATTTTTAATAGAGACAGGGTTTCACCATGTTGGCCAGGCTGGTCTTGAACTCCTGACCTCGGGTGATCCGCCCGCCTCAGCCTCCCAGAGTGCTGGGATTACAGGCATGAGCCACCACGCCCGGCCCAAACTGTGCTTTTTTTAAATAAAGAAATTAAAACAGTATTTTTTTCCTTAAAGATGGTGTCTCACTACATTCCCTGGCTCAAACGATTCTGGCTCAAACGAATTCCTAGGCTCAAACGATTCTCCTGCGTTAGCCTCCTGAGTACCTGGGACTATAGGTATGTGCCACTATTCCTGAAAACATAATCAGTTTTGAAGGTAGTGTCTGGGCTGGGCGCAGTGGCTCACGCCTTCAATCCCAGCACTTTGGGAGGCCGAGGTGGGCGGATCACCTGAGGTCAGGAGTTCGAGACCAGCCTGACCAACATGGATAAGACTCCATCTCTACTAAAAATACAAAAAATTAGCCAGGCATGGTGGCGCATGCCTGTAATCCCAGCTACTCAGGAGGCTGAGGCAGGAGAATTGCTTGAACCTAGGAAGCAGAGGCTGTGGTGAGCCGAGATCGCACCATTGCACTCCAGCCTGGGCAACAAGAGTGAAACTCCGTCTTAAAAAAAAAAAAAAAAAGGTAGTGTGTGGCCGGGCGCGGTGGCTCACGCCTGTAATCCCAGCATTTTGTGAGGCCAAGGTGGGCGGATCATGAGGTCAGGAGTTCGAGACCAGCCTGGCCAACATGGTGAAACCCTGTCTCTACTAAAAATACAAACATTAAGCCGGCGCAGTGGTGGATGCCGATAATCCCAGCTCCTCGGGAGGCTGACGCGGGAGAATTGCTTGAACCTGAGAGGCAGAGGTTGCAGTGAGCCAAGATTGTGCCACTACTAGGCGACAGAATGAGACTCTGTCTCCAAAATAATAATAATAATAATAATAAAATAAAAATAAAAGTAGTATCCAGCGTACTACAAAGAGGAAGAGTTTGTGAATGTGTATGTTACTGTTAAGTTAAACAGTGTTCTAGTATCCATCTCATTATCAGCCTTGGGCAGGGCAGGGTTGAGTTGGCTAATGTTCATTATAAACCAGATCATCCAGTTGGGGACTCTGAATGAGCATATGATTGCCCCTTTCATGCTAGACTTAGCTAATTAAACTGTTCATATGACCTAAAAGGATGGCTGTGGTGCCATAGAAAGAAAACAAGTTTTGAGGCAAGAGACTTTAGTTTGATTCCTACCTCTGCTGTTTTCTGGTTGTGAGATTTTTGGATCAGTTGCTTTTGTGTTCATTTACCAAAACTTCTCAAGACAAAAAGAATAAATGAGATAATGTGACAGTGCCTTGTAAATACCAAATACTATATAGAGATAGCTATTATTACTTGTATGTTTATTGTGAACATTAATCAGCCAATCAAGTTGTTCAGACTTGTACTGCTGAACATCAATTGCAGATATAACATTCTTGGCAGATGACTTAGTCACCTCCTTCTGTGGAAGAATAGAAGATAGACAGCTCCTTGCTGTCTATCACAGTATGTTCTGGTCCCGTTGGCCTCACCTTCCATATAATCATTTCCATTCTACTGGGCTTTAGCCACTCTGGTGACTTGAGTTCAGCAAAAATAATCTTTCTTGATGGGTGGTATATATATTTCTACCTTTTATGCTTTAGAATAGTTTCCTTTCCATTTCTCATAGGGTTTGGATCTTCATAACTGTTTGAAGAGAAATCCTGACCTCCAGACTGAAGGAAAGCACACCATGCCTTTATAACGCCAGCCTCGGTCTTTTTTTTGTTCCCCTCTGTCTTAGTTCCTTTTGTATTGCTATAACAGAATACCGCAGACTGGGTGATTTATTTATTTATTTATTTTGTTGTTGTCATTTGTTTTCTTCTTTTTTGTATCTTTTGAAATTCTTTTCATTGTTGTTGTTGTTTTGAGACTGGGTGATTTGTTTATTCAGCTCATGGTTCTTGAGGCTGGAAAGCCCAAGAGTATATGGTACCAGCAGCACCTGATTATGCCATGGTGGATAGACAGAACGGCAAGAGAGAGCTTGCTTTTGTAACAAAGTCACTCCCATGATAACTAACCTACTCCTGTGATAACGACATTGCAGGTTCAGTATCCCTGATTTGAAAGTCTGAAATTCAAAGTGCTCCCAAATCTGAAGCTTTCTGAGTATCAATGTGATGCTCAAAGGAAATGCTTATTGGAGTGTTTTAGATTTTGGATTTTTAGATTTGGTATGTTCAACCTGTAAGTATAATGGAAATATTCCAAAATGCAAAATCTGAAACACTTCTGGTCCCAAACATTTCAGATAAAGGATACTGAACCTTTAATCCATTCATGAAGGCAGAGTCCTCATGACCCAGTCACCTCCTAAAGGCCTCACCTCTTGATACTACCACAATGGCAACCAGGTTTCCAGTACATGAATTTTTAGGGGGATCATTCAAACTATAGCACCCTCCTTTATCCCTTACCCTATTCCATTAGTTTTAATCCCCACTTTGTCTCTTCCTCTAATCTTCAGTCTACACTGTGACATGATAGGTATGCTCAAGTCTCTAACAGCTCTAAAATAACGTTTTCTGTTTTTTTTTTTGTCTTCATTTCTGGTGGGGTTGGATAAGAAAAGTTTTTCAAGTTAAATCACTCTCTATTGCAAGCCTCTTCCACCTTTTTTTTTTTTTTTTTTGCTTCGAAGAATGATTGCCTTTACCTTCTCAGTTCTCAGTTATTTTCCAGCACATTATGATTTTATGACCTTGATACAGAAGGGCTGGGCTCCTGGCTAAATTCCACCCTTAAACCTGGAACTGCAACCCTAAGTGAAAACAGCTAACCCCATTTTTTTTCCCACCCAAATGTTGCCTCTTTGGCCTGCCATGCCCCTATCCTGTGCTCATAAAAATATTTCAGCTGGGCTGGGTGCGGTGGCTCACTCCTATAATCCCAGCACTTTGGGAGACCGAGGCAGGTGGATCACCTGGGGTCAGGAGTTCAAGACCAGCCTGGCCAACATGGCAAAACCGTATCTCTACTAAAAATACAAAAATTAGTTGGGCATGGTGGTGGGCACCATAATCCCAGCTACTTGGGAGGATGAGGCAGGAGAATTGCTTGAACCTGGGCGGCGGAGGTTACAGTGAGCCCAGATTGTGCCAGTGCACTCCAGCCTGGGCAACCGAGTGAGACTCTGTCTCAAAAAAAAAAAAACAAAAACAAAAAAGATTTCAGCAGCTGGGAGAACAATATAAGCAGCTGACGTCAGGGATATAAATGGCTGTGTGTTGGGAATACAAGCAGCTGATTGTCGGAAATACAAGCCACTGAGTGTTGGTGATACAAGTGGCTGAGCAGCGAGCAGAGAATCAGGTGAGCGTTGGAGACTATGGATGGGACGTGGCTAACTTCAGATGGTGCAGCTTTGGAGAATAGGCCCAGCCGGAGATGGCCTGGCTTCAGGGAAAGATCACCTTCTTCCCATACCATCCCTTTTTCAACTCCCCATTCTGCTGAGAACCACTTCCATCGTGCAATACAATCTTCTGCATATACTACCCTTCAATCTGTTCATGTGATCTGATTATTCCTGGACACTGGAAGAGAACCTGGGTGCCAAGAGGAGAGGGCAGGGGCTGCCACCCTGACCCTCCACTGAGCTGGCTGGCACCTGGCCATCCCCGAATGGCCGCGTTGAAGGAGCATTGATTGTAACACACTTGGATGCTGCTGCGGGGCCGCATAGAGCCTGCGCCTGCCAGAGAGGAGCAACTGGCTGGTTCCCGCATTCGTTTGCTCTGATTCCCACACTCACTCACTCGCTTGCACACTGCCTCTTGCAAGGGGTTTGAGTGTGTGGTGGCCGAGTAAACGAGCCACGCTCCGAGCCATGAGGGGGTCAAGGGAATTATCCAGTCTCATCTCAATCCGACTTCCCTCTTCACTGTTTTACTTTTGTAAAACCCTTGATGAACTTCCCATTGTCAATTCAGGGTCTTTTTAGCTCTCATCCTGCCAGACTGTTGATAACACCTCTGATTTGTGCTCCACTTTTGGCTTCTGTGTCATATTGATTCCTGAGTTTTCTTCCTTCTCCTCTATTCTCTTAATCTCGTTTTCTGGTTTTCTCCCATCACCTGCTGGTTAAGCTTAGGGGTTATTTACACTTCTCTCCTTGGTCATCTTTTTACTGTATTTTTCCCTCCACAGCTATTTCATCCATTTCTGAGGCCTGAGATTTCATCCATTTCTGAGGCTATAGAGACCAGTGACTTCCTCTGACTCTTCTGAGCTTGAAATTCCTATTGGTAACTGCCATTGGACTTAACTGCCTGGTTATATCTCTAACTAAAGTACTTCTCTCTTCCAGCCTGTTTATCTTATTGTGTTCCATTGTGTTCCTTATCTCTACCAATGCTAGTTCCTTATGCTAGAAATCTCATTCATTGCCACTCAATCAAGTTTGCTAAAAACGAAACATCTGATTGTGTCACTTATTCAACCTTACCAATTTTTTTTTTTTTTTGAGCCTTGCTTTGTCACCCATAGTGGCACGATCTCTGCTCACTGCAGCCTCCACCACCCAGGTTCAGGTGATTCTCCTGCCGTAGCCTCATGAGTAGCTGGGATTACAGGCATGTGCCACCATGCCCGACTAATTTTTATATTTTTAGTAGAGACGGGGTTTCACCATGTTGGCCAGGCTGGTCTCAAACTCCTGACCTCAAGTGATCTGCCCACCTTGGCCTCCCAAAGTGCTGGGATTTCAGGCGCCTGGCCTGTTACTTGATTATATGCTAAACAAGGGGTGGATTATTCATGAGTTTTCTGGGAAAGAGGTGGGCAATTCCCGGAACTGAGGATCCCTCCCCTTTTTAGACCATACAAGGTAACTTCCGGACGTTGCCATGGCATCTGTAAACTGTCATGGTGTTGGCGGGGAGTGTCTTTTAGCATGCTAATGTATTATAATTAGCGTATAGTGAGCAGTGAGGATAACCAGAGGTCACTCTCCTCACCATCTTGGTTTTGGTGGGTTTTGGCCAGCTTCTTTATTGCAACCAGTTTTATCAGCAAGATCTTTATGAGCTGTATCTTGTGCTGACTTCCTATCTCATCCCGTAACTAAGAGTACCTAACCTCCTGCAAATGCAGCCCAGTAGGTCTTGGCCTTATTTTACCCAGCCCCTATTCAAGATAGAGTTGCTCTGGTCCAAACGCCTCTGACACAAGGATTTTAAAGTCTTATTAATTAAGGTAAGATAGTTCCTTGCATATGTGGTCTGAAATCACAGAAAGCTGAATTTGAAAAAGGTGCTTGGAGCTGCAGCCAGTAAACAAGTTTTCATGCAGGTGTCAGTATTTAAGGTACATCTCAAAGGATAAGTACAATTGTGTATGTTGGGATGAACAGAGAGAATGGAGCAAGCCAAGACCCAGGTAAAAGAGAGGACCTGAATGCCTTCAGTGAACAATGATAGATAATCTAGACTTTTAAACTGCATACTTCCTGTACATTGTTTTTTCTTGCTTCAGGTTTTTAGAACTCATAGTGACGGGTCTGTTGTTAATCCCAGGTCTAACCGTTACCTTGATTCTGCTGAGAATCTGATTTACTGAAAATGTTTTTCTTGTGCTTATAGAATGACAATAGAGAACGGCAGGAGCACAACGACAGACGGAGCCTTGGCCACCCTGAGCCATTATCTAATGGACGACCCCAGGGTAACTCCCGGCAGGTGGTGGAGCAAGATGAGGAAGAAGATGAGGAGCTGACATTGAAATATGGCGCCAAGCATGTGATCATGCTCTTTGTCCCTGTGACTCTCTGCATGGTGGTGGTCGTGGCTACCATTAAGTCAGTCAGCTTTTATACCCGGAAGGATGGGCAGCTGTACGTATGAGTTTTGTTTTATTATTCTCAAAGCCAGTGTGGCTTTTCTTTACAGCATGTCATCATCACCTTGAAGGCCTCTGCATTGAAGGGGCATGACTTAGCTGGAGAGCCCATCCTCTGTGATGGTCAGGAGCAGTTGAGAGAGCGAGGGGTTATTACTTCATGTTTTAAGTGGAGAAAAGGAACACTGCAGAAGTATGTTTCCTGTATGGTATTACTGGATAGGGCTGAAGTTATGCTGAATTGAACACATAAATTCTTTTCCACCTCAGGGCCATTGGGCGCCCATTGCTCTTCTGCCTAGAATATTCTTTCCTTTTCTAACTTTGGTGGATTAAATTCCTGTCATCCCCCTCCTCTTGGTGTTATATATAAAGTTTTGGTGCCGCAAAAGAAGTAGCACTCGAATATAAAATTTTCCTTTTAATTCTCAGCAAGGCAAGTTACTTCTATATAGAAGGGTGCACCCTTACAGATGGAACAATGGCAAGCGCACATTTGGACAAGGGAGGGGAAAGGGTTCTTATCCCTGACACACGTGGTCCCTGCTGCTGTGTTCTTCCCCTACTGACTAGGGTTAGACTGCACAGGCTAAACTAATTCCAATTGGCTAATTTAAAGAGAATGATGGGGTGAGTGCTTTGGCAGGAGTCAGGGAAGAGCAGGTAGCAGGTAACTGGAATGAGGGTGGAGCAGGTAATGGAAAAACATTGCTTTACGAGGAAGTTAAGTTTAAAAGTAGAAGGCAAAGAATTGAACATACTGGCGTATTAATTCTTTGAAATTTAGAACTCACATCTAACATTGGCTTAAATGTTAAATCCTCAAAGATAACATTCCTGTTTCTCCTAACACGATTAAGTCCTTCTTGGTATCTTTTCTCATAGCAACTTGTCCTTTCTCACTTGTCACAATTTGCAAATATATATTTATTTACATTGTTTATTTAATGCCTAATTTCCTTCTTTATTGCAAGGCCTGTGAGGGTACTGAGTCTCCAGGGTGAGGTGTATAATAAATGGCCAAACGAATTGTTAATTGAAAGGATGAACAACTAATTCAAGCCAGCACTCTCTAGACTCCTGGGGGGCTATCATGTGGGTTCCCTGGTGCTGCTGATGTCAGCCCTTGGCCTCCAAGAAAAATGCTTGATTCAAATGTCATCTAGTTCCATCTCTACGACTCTCATGGGGTCCAAAGAAGAGTTTTAATTGAGTTTTAGAATTTGAAGTTGTGAAGTGTCTGAAAAACTACATGGTGTTCTGAAAGCCAAACTTTTAGCCTTTTGGGAGAGCATCTAAGACAGCAGGTGAAGGGCAGGGGTTAGAACTAGAGGGATTGAAGAATATTATCCATATAGGTTAGGGTTAGGTTTGGCAACGTATTATAGAACAAACATTGGCAAGCTACAGCCACAGGCCAGATCTGTCTGCTACCTTTCCACAAAGGTGTAATAACAAAGTTATTCACAAATTTGTGAATAAACTTTCATTGGAAAGTGACCACGCTCCTTGGTTTATACATTGTCTGTGGCTGCTTTCACACTACAGTAGCACAGTTGAGTGTTTGCACTGGAGACCATATGACCCATAGAGCTTAAAATATTCAGTCTGGCTTTTTACAGAGATGTTTCTGACTTTGTTAATAGAAAATCAAAACAACTGGTTTAAATAATGCACATACTTTCTCTCTCATAGAGTAGTGCAGAGGTAGGCAGTCCAGATTAGTACGGTGGCTTCACGTTCATCAAGGACTCAATCTCCTTCTTTCTTCTTTAGCTTCTAACCTCTAGCTTACTTCAGGGTCCAGGCTGGAGCCCTAGCCTTCATTCTGACAGTAGGAAGGAGTAGGGGAGAAAAGAACATAGGACATGTCAGCAGAATTCTCTCCTTAGAAGTTCCATACACAACACATCTCCCTAGAAGTCATTGCCCTTACTTGTTCTCATAGCCATCCTAAATATAAGGGAGTCAGAAGTAAAGTCTTTTTGGCTGGGAATATTGGCACCTGGAATAAAAATGTTTTTCTGTGAATGAGAAACAAGGGGAAGATGGATATGTGACATTATCTTAAGACAACTCCAGTTGCAATTACTCTGCAGATGAGAGGCACTAATTATAAGCCATATTACCTTTCTTCTGACAACCACTTGTCAGCCCACGTGGTTTCTGTGGCAGAATCTGGTTCTATAACAAGTTCCTAATAAGCTGTAGCCAAAAAAATTTGATGAGGTATTATAATTATTTCAATATAAAGCACCCACTAGATGGAGCCAGTGTCTGCTTCACATGTTAAGTCCTTCTTTCCATATGTTAGACATTTTCTTTGAAGCAATTTTAGAGTGTAGCTGTTTTTCTCAGGTTAAAAATTCTTAGCTAGATTGGTGAGTTGGGGAAAAGTGACTTATAAGATACGAATTGAATTAAGAAAAAGAAAATTCTGTGTTGGAGGTGGTAATGTGGTTGGTGATCTCCATTAACACTGACCTAGGGCTTTTGTGTTTGTTTTATTGTAGAATCTATACCCCATTCACAGAAGATACCGAGACTGTGGGCCAGAGAGCCCTGCACTCAATTCTGAATGCTGCCATCATGATCAGTGTCATTGTTGTCATGACTATCCTCCTGGTGGTTCTGTATAAATACAGGTGCTATAAGGTGAGCATGAGACACAGATCTTTGCTTTCCACCCTGTTCTTCTTATGGTTGGGTATTCTTGTCACAGTAACTTAACTGATCTAGGAAAGAAAAAATGTTTTGTCTTCTAGAGATAAGTTAATTTTTAGTTTTCTTCCTCCTCACTGTGGAACATTCAAAAAATACAAAAAGGAAGCCAGGTGCATGTGTAATGCCAGGCTCAGAGGCTGAGGCAGGAGGATCACTTGGGCCCAGGAGTTCACAAGCAGCTTGGGCAACGTAGCAAGACCCTGCCTCTATTAAAGAAAACAAAAAACAAATATTGGAAGTATTTTATATGCATGGAATCTATATGTCATGAAAAAATTAGTGTAAAATATATATATTATGATTAGTTATCAAGATTTAGTGATAATTTATGTTATTTTGGATTTCAATGCCTTTTTAGGCCATTGTCTCAAAAAATAAAAGCAGAAAACAAAAAAAGTTGTAACTGAAAAATAAACATTTCCATATAATAGCACAATCTAAGTGGGTTTTTGTTTGTTTGTTTGTTTGTTGAAGCAGGGCCTTGCCCTGTCACCCAGGCTGGAGTGAAGTGCAGTGGCACGATTTTGGCTCACTGCAGACTCAACCCACCAGTTTCAAGCGATTCTCCTGCCTCTGCCTCCCAAATAGCTGGGATTACAGGTGTGTGCCACCACACTCGGCTAATTTTTGTATTTTTAGTAGAGACAGGGTTTCACCATGTTGACCACACTGGTCTCGAACTCCTGGCCTCAAGTGATCTGCCCACCTTGGTCTCCCAAAGTGCTGGGATTACAGGCATGAGCCACTGCGCCCGGCCCTAAGTGGTTTTAATATTTTGATTGACAGTATACTGAAGAAATATACTCTAAGACCTTTATGAATCTCCTCATTCACAAATAACACTGTAGGATATAATGGTCCCTATAAAATACGGTATAACTAAAATCAGATTTTTATATTGGAGTACAGAACAATAAAGCCATCTTCAGATGCTGGTATTAAACTCACTGGTGACTGGTCACACCTTGCCTAAACTGGTAGCCACCATGCATCCTCTCACCATCTCCACTGTACTACTTCCTTCCTTGGGAAGTCGGGCGCTGGGAGGTTGTACAGGAAAGATACAGACCCACCCTTCTCAGCCTCTCCTCCCCTAGCTCGCTCTTTTGCCAAAGTGACCTACTGCTGAGTTTCAAAGTGACCTACTGCTGAGTTTCAGCCAACTAGCACGTTTCAGATTCATACCTTAGAAAAAATTACACATTATCACAAGTCATGCACCTTTTAAGGTCATTTTCAAATAATAGAAATTATAAGTGTTCGGCCAGGCATGGTGGCTCATGCCTGTAATCCCAGCACTTTGGGAGGCCAAGGCAGGAGGATTGCTTGAGGTCAGGAGTTTTTTTTGTTTTTTTGTTTTTTTCCCCGAGACGAAGTCTCGCTCTTGTCCCGCAGGCTGGAGTGTGACAGCGCGATCTTGGCTCACTGCAAGCTGTGCCTCCTGGGTTCAAGCGATTCTTCTGCCTCAGCCCCCCGAGTAGCTGGGATTACAGGCGCCTGCCACCACACCCGGCTAATTTTTGTATTTTTAGTAGAGACTGGGTTTTACCGTGTTGGCCAGGCTGGTCTAGAACTCCTGACCTCAGGTGATCCACCCACCTCGGCCTCGCAAGGGCTGGGATTACAGGCGTGAGCCACCATACCTGGCCGAGGTCAGGGGTTTGAGACCAGCCTGAGCAACATAGTAAGACCTATCTCTACCAAAAAAAAAAAAAATTAACTTTCCAAATGTAGGAGTCTACTCTGTTTCCTTCTAGTATTTATTTCTGTATACTTTTCTAACATGGTTAAAATGTGTAATCAATATGTGTCCTTTTACTTTGGTGTGAACATTTTTTCTATTATAAATTCTTAGAAAATATTTCTATGGCTATGAGATATTTGATTCAAGTGCCTTGTAATTTACTTCTCAAATGTCCCTGATGTTGGACATTTGTTTCTAGTGTTTCACTATTTTAAAAAACAGTAATATCTGTCTTTATGCTTAGAGCTTTTTCAGTTTTTCAAATTATTTCCTTAGGGTAAAATCCTAGAAGTAGAATTTTTGGGGCAAATTATCTACATATTTATAACTGTCTTGGTATTCAAAATCTCGTTTTCAAAAAGCTTATATCAATTTGTACTTAACACCAGTAGTGAATGAGAGTATCTGTCGTACCCCACCAGTGCTGAATTTCTTTTTTAAAACTGTGCTGGTTTTTATAGGTAAAGAAAATGTCTTAATTTGCATTTAGTTGGTTACTAGTAATATCACATACCTTTTCAATGCTTGTGAACTTTAAGCTTATACAGAGTTTAACCTTGCATGTTGAACATTTGAGTGAGTGGAAGTGTTAAGTGATGGCCATCTGTATAATCTATTAGTAATGTATGGAGACCATTAAAGATGACAGGTATGTGTGATGATGACAGGTTGTTACCAACACTCAGAAGGCCAAAAAGCAAGTGATATAAACCCATGCTGGGAAGCATTCACCTCCCCCACTTTAAAAATGCTAGTTTCTTAATTCCTTTTCTTTATCCCTTTTTTTGTCTGCACGTGTTTACTTGCCTTTAGTTTCCCTGCTTTAGTAGGCTGACCTTGTGACTTTTACCAGGATCCCATTATACTTTTGTTCTTCTGTTTATTTCTCAGATTTTATTGGAGGGTGGAATTCTACTTTTTCTTTCTTATAATCTAGAATTTACATTCAGATTTCCTGCCTTTCCCTTACAAAATACCTGTGTAGTTGGATAGGTGGAGCTCTGGACTCAGAGTTCTTTCTTCTAGTAATCTTAGGAAATTATTTAATTTTTCTGTGTTTTCATATTTTCACACATAAAAGAGAAAACACCATTTCTAAACTACCTCTTCTTTTCTCTGCTTTTAAGCATGTAAAGGTTTTCCCAATCTTGGGCAGTGACATGTACAGGACAGTATAGCTTTACATCTGCCTTGTTTTAATTAAACACTAGTTCTTTGAGGTAACCCCTACTATTATCCCAGTTTTATGGATGAGGCACTGAGGCAGGGGTCACACAGCTAGTGTGGGTCAGAACCTAATGGGTCAGAATGGACATTTGAGTCCAGAGTTTGGCCTGGATTGACACACATAGCTATTACGTAAGATTCCTCTCAAATTCAGTCCTCAGCTCCCTGAAGTGTGGGTTCTCTTTTCATGCCTCCATGGAAACTGCGTATCATGTGGTTACCAGTTTTTCCTTTGGTCGTATCTGCTGACCTTTTTGAACCTAATTTTTTCTGGACCTTATTGCCATTTGACTTATTTATTGCCTCCCACTTGACACTGATTCTGGCTTTTGCTTTTCTTCCTACTTTGGTCCTTTTTGCAGTTTTCTAAAGCTAACCAGCCATGACTCTCAGATGATGGACTTTTTCGTCTCTCCCATTACTTCTTGGGAAATTATATTTTAATCTCATGGTTTAAATTTTCATCCTTAAATATAACTTTTAATGTAGTATTTTTAGCCCAGAAGGGCCCATGGTTGGTTTGTTTTCTCCTTTGCATATCTCTTCTACTCAGATACCTGGTAGCATATAAATCAAATGAATTATCCTTCATACCATTTCATTATCATCAGTAGGACTGCTTTGCTGGGGTTTTTTTGTGTGTGTGTTTTTGTTTTTGTTTTTGTTTTTGTTTTGAGATAAAGTCTTGCTTTGTCACCTAGGCAAGAGTGCTAGGATTACAGGCGTGAGCCGCTATGCCAGGACAGCCGTTTTCTTCTAGTATTATTTGCCCTCTGTCTGAACATCTTCCTTTAGTAATGCTTTTAGAGCAAGGCAGCTGGCCTCAATTTGTTTTAATTTTTCTTCCCCTTAGGATGTTTTAATTTTACCTTTATTACTGAAGGATATTGTTACTGGGCAGAAAATTGTCTTGATATTCCCCTTTTCAGCATTTAAAAAATGCTCTTCTGCTTTCTTTCAGCCTCCATGGTTTCTCATAAAAATCAGTCATTCGAATCACTGTTCTTCTAAAAGTAATACATTGTTTTGTTCTGGTCACTTTCAAAATTTTCTTTTTCTTTTCAGCAGTTTAATTATGGGACTGTGTGAGGATTTCTTTGTTCATTCTGTTTGGAGTTCACTGAGCTTTTTGAATCTCTAGGTTTATGTCTTTTACCAAATTTGGAAAATTTTTCAACCATTATTTCTTCAAAATTTTTCTGTACCACATTCTTTACTCTTTTTTTTTTTGAAACAGAGTGGCGCACTGCAACCTCTGCCTTCCCGGTTCAAGTGATTCTCCTGCCTCAGCCTCCCAAAGTGCTGGGATTACGGGTGCCTGCCACCATGCCTGGCTGATTTTGTTAATTTTTAGTAGAGACGGGGTTTTACCACATTGACCAGGCTGGTCTTGAACTCCTGGCCTTAAGTATTCCGCCTGCCTGGGCCTCCCAAAGTGCTGGGTTACAGGTGTGAGCCACCACACCCGGCCCTTTTTTTTTTTTTTTTTTGAGACCGAGTCTCGCTTTGTCACCCAGGCTGGAGTGCAGTGATGTGATTTTGGCTCACTGCAGCCTCAGCCTCCCAAGTACCTGGGATTACAGAGATGTGCCACCATGCCCAGCTAATTTTTGTATTTTTATTAGAGATGGGGTTTCACCATGTTGGCCAGGCTGGTCTTAAACCCCTGGCCTCAAGTGATCCGTCTGCCTCAGCCTCCCAAAGTGCTGGGATTACAGACGTGAGCCACCATGCCTGGCTCTTTACCCTCTTCTGGGAGTGACAACACAAATAACTTTTTATTCCACAGGTTTCTGAGGCTCTGTTTATTTTCCAATTTTTTTCACTATTGTTCTGGTTAGATAATTTCTATTGATCTGTCTTCAAGTTTCCTGAAATTTGCATTTTGTTGGTAAACCTATTCAGTAAAATGTTTTTGGTTATTTTATTTTTAGTTCTAAAATTCCTATATAGCCCGTCTTTACATTTTTTTATTCTGAAACTTAAAACTTTCCTTTCATTTTAAGAGTGTTTGCCCTTACTTCTTGGAGCATTTTTATGCTCCAAGGATTTTGATATTTTTGTTTTATTGGCCAATTGATCTGATTGGGCTAGGTCCAGCCAGCCTTGTCAAAGCCTTTGCAGTGTTGCTCAGATCTGCCCCATGTATATGCCACCCAGTCACCAGTCTGGGACTGGTATAGTGGTGTTCTATTTGTAATTCGGTTGTCAGGGTCGGTGTGTACTGTTGAGGATCATATCCATACTCACTCACCTTGGGAATGGACCCACAAGTTTATAAACAGCTTTAAGAGATTGCTTTCATGAGTTTCTTTCTTTCTGTGATCTCCATGTGGTTTCTTGGGCTTCCCTTTTCCATTCCTGCAGCCAAAAGTGGACTTTATCTTCCTAAAGTCAGGGCCAAAATGTGGGAGGAGAGAGAGAAATAAAGCAAGGGCTATTTGCCCCACTCTCTCGGGACTGACATTCTTCCAGTCAGAGTAAGGATTCCCTCCCTCTGAATTTTAGGCTTCTGCCACCCACATTACCATCACCACAGGATTGTGTGAGGACTGGGCATACGAGAATGGAGAAAAGCGGAAAAGAATGCCGGGTGTGGTGGCTCACGCCTGTAATCCTAACACTTTGGGAGGCCAAGGCGGGCAGATTGCCTGAGCTCATGAGTTTATGACCAGCCTGGGCAACACAGTGAAAACCTGTCTCTACTAAAATACAAAAAATTAGCCAGGCATGGTGGTGGGCACCTGTAGTTCCAGTTACTCAGGAGGCTGAGGCAGGAGTATTGCTTGAACCCGGGAGGCAGAGGTTGCAGTGAGCCAAGATCGTGCCACTGCACTCCAGCCTGAGCTACAGTGCGAGACTCTGTCTCCAAAAAAAAGGAAGAAAAACTGGATTTTTACACTGTCTGGGTGTTAGGAGACCTCTTTCCTGATCCTCAAGCCAGAACTAGAGGTCTTCTGGAGCTCCCATTGTCTTGCTAATGCCCACTCATGTTGTAATGAGCACAGGTGGAGGAAAAAAAGTGGTCAGCTCACTGCTAGTACTTCTAATTCCCCAGCCCACCTACCTCTCATTACTTTTCATCTTTTGCAACCAGCTGCTGCCTGCTTTCTGCCCAGGTTTTGTAACTGTATTCAGTGGGATAGAGAGAGTGGAAGGTACTTACTCCATCTTATCTGGAACCTTTCTTAATATATTTTTTGTCGCATTTGTACATCTTTTATCCATCCTTCATTTTATTTTATTTTTTTTTTTGAGACGGAGTCTCAGTCTCTCGCCCAGGCTGGAGTGTAGTGGCATGATCTTGGCTCACTGCAACCTCCGCCTCCTGGGTTCAAGTGATTCTCCTGCCTCAGCCTCCCAAGTAGTTGGGATTACTGGGACACGCCACCATGCCTGGGTAATTTTTGCATTTTTAGTAGAGATGAGGGTTCCCCATGTTGCCCAGGCTGGTCTCGAACTTCTGACCTCAGGTGATCCACTGGTTTCGGCCTCCCAAAGTGCTGGGACTACAGGCCTGAGCCACCACGCCCAGCCTTATCCTTCATTTTAGACAGTTTAAGAGGTTTGTATTCAGCCAGATCTCCACATTTACTTGTTCATTTGTGTTGTGATGTTTTTTAATGTTCAAGTCTTAGCACACACAAACAATTATATAGAAACAAGTTGTTTACTTTGACACCCAGTATAACTAAAAGGATCTTTTGAGTCAGAGATTGAGTAACTTGCCAGAGCCTGTTTGGAAATAAACCCTGAGGATTTTTCATATCAGTGGTTGGTTATGCAATGTCTGTGGCAAGCCCTAGAAACTAAAAGACCAAACCTTAAAATGTTAAAAACAGGAAAGGCAGTTAATTATTATACATAATTTGTTATAAAAGGAACTATAACTTATTAAAGTCAGATGATTTCTGGCCTTGATAGTTTAGGGTTTAGAGAAGATACTGTTGTGTACTATAAAACAGCAGGGCTGTTTTCTTTCATACCCTTTAGCACAGGAAAGCTGAACTAGGGATTTTTGCAAGATGAGAAAGGCCTGTTGAAATGTGTGTGTATAACATAGTAATAAAAGAAATGCATATGAAAATAACAAATTAACATATTTGACATATTGACTTTGTCAAGATTAGTCTTTTTTGTCAAGTAACTAAGCCAGTGTGTATTAATTAAATCAGTAATTAGAAAAAGTTTGTACACTTTGATTTAGTAATTTTGCTTTTATGATATATTCTAAAGAAGGAATTAGAAATGCAGAAAAATATTTGTGAAGTAGGATGTTCATTTTAATGTAAATTAAAATTGGGGAAAGAAAGGGAAAACAATACAGATTCCATGCATAAGGCAAAGGTTCAATTGTGGGTTTATCCGTATGAGTAGACTATTATTTTGTCATTTAAAAATCATAGTTTCAGCTGGGCGTGGTGGCTCACGCATGTAATCCCAGCACTTTAGGAGGCTGAGGTGGGCGGATCACCTGAGGTCAGAAGATCGAGACCAGCCTGACCAACATGGAGAAATCCTGTCTCTACTAAAAATACAAAAAAATTAGCTGGGCGTGGTGGCGAGTGCCTGTAATCCCAGCTACTCAGGAGGCTGAGGCAGGAGAATCGCTTGAATCTGGGGAGTGGAGGTTGCGGTGAGATTGCGCCATTGCCCTCCAGCCTGGGCAACAAGAGCAAAACTCCATCTCAAAATCAATCAATCAATCAGTCAATCAATCATAGTTTCACGCCAGGTGCAGTGGCACGGACCTGTAGACCCAGTTACTTGGGACCCTGAGACGAGATGATTGCTTGAGCCCAGGTTTTCCAGTCTAGCCTGGGAAACATAGTGAGACCCCAGTCTCTTAAAAAAAAATCATATTTTCAAATAATATTTGGTGGCATGAGAATATGTTTGTAATAAAAGATTACATTTGTGAAAGCAGAATGTAAACAGTACACTAGTTGATTCTCACTGTTAAGGTCTTTACACACGCCTATACGTGCAGATAGAAAACATGTCTGAAAGGGAAACGGTTTTATTTTGTTTCGTATTTTTTTTTGAGACAATGTCTCACTTTGTCAGTCAGGCTGGAATGTAGTGGCACTGTCTCGGCTCACTGCACCCTATACCTCCTGGGTTCAAGCAATCCTCCCACCTCAACCTCCATGGTAGCTGGGACTACAGGCACCTGCCACCACGCCTAGCTAATGTTCGTATTTTTAGTAGAGACGGGGTTTTGGCATGTTGGTCAGGCTGGTCTTGAACTCCTGACCTCAGGCAATCCACCTGTCTCAGCCTCCCAAACTGCTGGGATAACAGGCGTGAGCCACTGTGCCTGGCCTGAAAGGGAAATGTTGGTATTAATTTTGGTTGTCACTGGCCTTTAGAATAGTTTTCTTCTTTTAGTGTTTCTGTGTTTCTTAAGTGTTACAAGCATATGTTACTTTTGATTCAGAAAAATGCTATTTTTAAAATAAGCAAGACTGGGCACGGTGACTCTCACCAGTATGGCTGAGACCAGAGGATCACTTGAAGCCAGGAGTTCAAAACCAGCTTGGGCAACAGAGTGAGACCCCCACCTCTACAAAAAGAAAAAAAAAAAATTAAAAAATTAGCCAGGCATGGTGGTGTACCCACGCCTATAGTCCTAGGTACTAGGGAGGCTGAGGTGGGAGTATGGCTTGAGCCCAGTGGTTCGAGATTGCAGTGAGCTACGATCATGCCACTGTACCCCAGCCTGGGCAACACAGTGAGGCCCTATCTCAAAAAATAATTAAAAAAAAAATATTTGGGGGCTCCTAGAAGGTACAGTTAAAAAAATTAAAATTAGGCCGGGCATGGTGGCTCACGCCTATAATCCCAGCACTGTGGGAGGCTAAGGAGGGTGGATCACTTGAGATCAGGAGTTCAAGACCAGCTTGGCCAACATGGTGAAACTTCATCTCTAATACAAAAATCACCTGGGCGTTGGTGGTGGGTGCCTGTAATCCCAGCTACTCGGGAGGCTAAGGCAGGAGAATTGCTTGAATCTGGGAGGTGGAGGTTGCAGTGAGCCAAGACCATGCTACTGCACTCCAGCCTGGGCGACAAAGTGAGGCTTCATCTCCCAAAAATAAATAAATAAAATTAAAAAAAGAAATAAATAAGAACATCTCCTTCTTCCTTTGCCAAAAAACCGAGGTGAAAAGCATCTCTCAAGAATGATGAGAATTTCAATTATTTAATATTTACTCTGGTCCTTAATTTAAAGCTTAATATGGAATCCCAGTGTACATCTCCCACTGGTATTGTTTGTCTTGGCCAAGACAGACAAGTTTTAAAGAGTGAGATAAAATTTAGGCTAAAGTTGAAGTATTTGGAGGGAAATGTACAGATGTTCTCAGCTTACCTTTTTTGTTTTTTTGAGATGGAGTCTCGCTCTGTTGCTCAGGCTGGAGTGCAATGGTGCGATCTCAGCTCTCCACAACCTCCGCCTCTCAGGTTGAAGTGATTCTCCTGCCTCAGCCTCCCAAATAGCTGGGACTGCAGGTGTGTGCCACTATGTCTGGCTAATTTTTGTATTTTTTTTTTTTAATTTATTTTTTATTGATAATTCTTGGGTGTTTCTCACAGAGGGGGATTTGGCAGGGTCATAGGACAATAGTGGAGGGAAGGTCAGTAGATAAACAAGTGAACAAAGGTCTCTGGTTTTCCTAGGCAGAGGACCCTGCGGCCTTCCGCAGTGTTTGTGTCCCTGGGTACTTGAGATTAGGGAGTGGTGATGACTCTTAACGAGCATGCTGCCTTCAAGCATCTGTTTAACAAAACACATCTTGCACCGCCCTTAATCCATTCAACCCTGAGTGGACACAGCACATGTTTCAGAGAGCACAGGGTTGGGGGTAAGGTCACAGATCAACAGGATCCCAAGGCAGAAGAAGTTTTCTTAGTACAGAACAAAATGAAAAGTCTCCCATGTCTACTTCTTTCTACACAGACACGGCAACCATCCGATTTCTCAATCTTTTCCCCACCTTTCCCGCCTTTCTATTCCACAAAGCCGCCATTGTCATCCTGGCCCGTTCTCAATGAGCTGTTGGGCACACCTCCCAGACGGGGTGGTGGCCGGGCAGAGGGGCTCCTCACTTCCCAGTAGGGGCGGCCGGGCAGAGGTGCCCCTCACCTCCCGGGCGGGGCGGCTGGCCGGGCGGGGGGCTGACCCCCCCACCTCCCTCCCGGACGGGGCGGCTGGCCGGGCAGAGGGGCTCCTCACTTCCCAGTAGGAGCGGCCGGGCAGAGGCGCCCCTCACCTCCCGGACGGGGCGGCTGGCCAGGCGGGGGGCTGATCCCCCCACCTCCCTCCCAGACGGGGCGGCTGGCCGGGCGGGGGGCTGACCCCCCCCCACCTCCCTCCCGGACAGGGCGGCTGGCCGGCCGGGGGGCTGACCCCCCCACCTCCCTCCCGGACGGGGCGGCTGGCCGGGCGGGGGGCTGACCCCCCCACCTCCCTCCCGGACGGGGCGGCTGGCCGGGCGGGGGGCTGACCCCCCCACCTCCCTCCCGGACGGGGCGGCTGGCCGGGCGGGGGGCTGACCCCCCCACCTCCCTCCCGGACGGGGCGGCTGGCCGGGCAGAGGCGCCCCTCACCTCCCGGACGGGGCGGCTGGCCGGGCGGGGGGCTGACCCCCCCACCTCCCTCTCCGACGGGGCGGCTGGCCTGGCAGAGGGGCTCCTCACTTCCCAGTAGGGGCGGCCGGGCAGAGGCGCCCCTCACCTCCCGGACGGGGCGGCTGGCCGGGCGGGGGGCTGACCCCCCCACCTCCCTCTCGGACAGGGCGGCTGGCCTGGCAGAGGGGCTCCTCACTTCCCAGTAGGGGCGGCCGGGCAGAGGCGCCCCTCACCTCCCGGACGGGGCGGCTGGCCGGGCGGGGGGCTGACCCCCCCACCTCCCTCCCGGACGGAGCGGCTGGCGGGGCGGGGGGCTGACCCCCCCACCTCCCTCCCGGATGGGGCGGCTGGCCTGGCGGGGGGCTGACCCCCCCCACCTCCCTCCCGGACGGGGTGGCTGCCGGGCGGAGACGCTCCTCACTTCCCAGACGGGGCGGCTGCCGGGCGGAGGGGCTCCTCACTTCCCAGACGGGGCGGCTGCCGGGCGGAGGGGCTCCTCACTTCTCAGACGGGGCGGCCGGGCAGAGATGCTCCTCACCTCCCAGACGGGGTCGCGGCCGGGCAGAGGTGCTCCTCACATCCCAGACGGGGCGGCGGGGCAGAGGCGCTCCCCACATCTCAGACGATGGGCGGCCGGGCAGAGACGCTCCTCACTTCCTAGATGTGATGGCAGCCGGGCAGAGGTGCTCCTCACTTCCTAGGTGGGATGGCGGCCGGGCGGAGACGCTCCTCACTTTCCAGACTGGGCAGCCAGGCAGAGGGGCTCCTCACATCCCAGATGATGGGCGGCCAGGCAGAGACGCTCCTCACTTCCCAGACGGGGTGGCGGCCGGGCAGAGGCTACAATCTCGGCACTTTGGGAGGCCAAGGCAGGCGGCTGGGAGGTGGAGGTTGTAGCGAGCCGAGATCACGCCACTGCACTCCAGCCTGGGCACCATTGAGCACTGAGTGAACGAGACTCCGTCTGCAATCCCGGCACCTCGGGAGGCCGAGGCTGGTGGATCACTTGCGGTTAGGGGCTGGAGACCGGCCTGGCCAACACAGCGAAACCCCGTCTCCACCAAAACCAGTCAGGCGTGGCGGCGTGAGTCTGCAATCGCAGGCACTCGGCAGGCTGAGTCAGGAGAATCAGGCAGGGAGGTTGCAGTGAGCCGAGATGGCAGCAGTACAGTCCAGCTTCGGCTCAGCATGAGAGGGAGACCGTGGAAAGAGAGGGAGAGGGAGACCGTGGGGAGAGAGAGGGAGAGGGAGAGGGAGAGCGCTTAAAACAATTTTTAAGATGTATTTCTTTTCTCATAGTTCCAGAGGCCAGAAGTCCCAAGTCAAGGGTTGGAAGCAATTTTTGTATTTTTAGTAGAGATGGGGTTCACCATATTGGCCAGGCTGGTCTTGAACTCCTGGCCTCATGATCCGCCTGCCGTGGCCTCCCAAAGTGCTGGGATTACAGGCATGAGTCACTGCGCCCGATCTCTCAGTTTACTTTGATATGTATTAATAATAACAAAGACTAATGGATGAGGAGCTAGACAGAAATTTTATAAACCAAGTACTGCAAAATATGAATGGTAGACTCTAGGTGATATATGGGTGTTCACTGTAAAATTAATTAAATTTTGCTGTGTGTTCGAACATTTTTGTAACAAAATGTTGGAAAATTTTTGTGGAAGAACACCAGAAACAACTTTGTTGTATCTGGATATAATTTAGAATATTCAAATGTTGGCTAGGTGCGGTGGCAACCTGTAATCCTAGCACTTTGGGAGGCCAAGGCAGGTGGATCACCTCAGGTCGGGAGTTCGAGACCAGCCTGACCAACATGGAGAAACTGTGTCTCTACTAAAAATACAGAATTAGCCAGGTGTGGTGGCACATGTCTGTAATCCCAGCTACTTGGGGGGCTGAGGCAGGAGAATTGCTTGAACCCTGGAGGCGGAGGTTGCGGTGAGCCGAGATTGCGCCATTGCACTCCATTCTGGGCAACAAGAGCGAAACTCCGTCTCAGAAAAAAAAAAAGAATATTCAAATGTCCAAGGAGTACCAATATCTAGGTAAAGCCATTCTGTTGGCCTTTGCCAAATTGTACTATTTTATAAAGTTGTTTTAAAGAGAGATGTGGGCCGGGCATAGTGGTGCACATCTGTAATCTCAGCACTTTGGGAGTCTGAGGCGGGCGGATCACTTGAGGTCAGGAATTTGAGACCAGCCTGGGCAACATGGCGAAACCCTGTCTCTACTAAAAATACAAAAATTAGCCTAGCGTGGTGGCGCGCACGCGTGGTTCCACCTACTCAGGAGGCTTAAGCACGAGAATTGCTTGAACCCAGGAGGCAGAGGTTGTGGTGAGCTGAGATCGTGCCACTGCACTCCAGTCTGGGCGACAAAGTGAGACCCTGTCTCAAAAAAGAAAAAAAAAATCTGTACTTTTTAAGGGTTGTGGGACCTGTTAATTATATTGAAATGCTTTCTTTTCTAGGTCATCCATGCCTGGCTTATTATATCATCTCTATTGTTGCTGTTCTTTTTTTCATTCATTTACTTGGGGTAAGTTGTGAAATTTTTGGTCTGTCTTTCAGAATTAACTACCTTTGTGCTGTGTAGCTATCATTTAAAGCCATGTACTTTGTTGATGAATTACTCTGAAGTTTTAATTGTTTCCACATATAGGTCATACTTGGTATATAAAAGACTAGTCAGTATTACTAATTGAGACATTCTTCTGTTGCTCCTTGCTTATAATAAGTAGAACTGAAAGAACTTAAGACTACAGTTAATTCTAAGCCTTTTTGAAGATTATATAGTCTTCTAGTAGAAGTCTGTGCATCAGAATGTTTTAAGAAAGGGTTTTAAGAATGTATAAAAACCAAAATAATTGATTTTCATACTTCTATATTGTTTTTTATCAGTGACTCTTTTTTCTTTCAAATGAAATCTTATATGAAATTTTCATATATAATATAGAAAAAAGTGGATCTAGTCTGTCAAAGAGAATAGTGAAGCTCAGAGATGTGCCAGCCTGGCCTTTTTCTCAGCTCAAGTGGCAGAATACAGTTTGTAAACAATTGCACTAGCTCTTAAATTCGAAGAGGCAGTCAAACTAATAAATAAATTGGAGAGTTATTTCTTTGGTAGAGGATTAAGGGAAATAACCACAGACAGAAGAAGCAAATATGAGAATCTATGTGAAATGGATGATATTCTAGAAAAAAAATTATCAAAACTGACCCCTAAAGAGAGAATATCTAAACAGAGTAAAGAAGAGGTACAGAAAGTTACTGAAGAAGTTTCCACCCCACCTGCACAAATAACAATAGTACCAGGCCCCAGTGGATTAATGGGGAAATTCTGTTAAACCTTTAAGGAATGGTAACTCTAATACTAAGTGTTCCGAACATATAAAAAGAAAAAAAGCTTCCAGATTAATTTTATGAAGCCAGCATAACATTAATAACTAAAGCCCTGCAAGTTATCAAGTAAAAGAAAACTATTGGTCGGTTATATTTATTGATTTCAAAAGCATAACAGAATATTAAGAGAATTCAGCAATAGATGAAAAGAATAATACTTTTTTTTTTTGAGTCTCACGCTGTTGCCCAGGCTGGAGTGCAGTGGCATGATCTCGGCTCACTGCAACCCCCACCTCCTGGATTCAAGCGATTCTCCTGCCTCAGCCCCCTGAGTAACCGGGACTACAGGTGCGCACCACCATGCCCAGCTAATTTTTGCATTTTTAGTAGAGACAGAGTTTCACCATGTTGGCCAGGATGGTCTCGATCTCCTGACCTCGTGATCCGCCCGCCTTGGCCTCCCAAAGTGCTGGAATTAACAGGCCTGAGCCACCGCACCCTGCCATAATAATACATTTGACCAAGTGGAGTTTGTTTGCAGAATCGTTCATTATAAGTTGCCATATTACTAGATCATCATCTCTGTATGTGCTAAAAGGCATTTGATAAGATTCCTGTTCTTGATCAGATTCCTTAATAAATAGACGGGGTCGGGTGTGGTGGCTCATGTTTATAATCTCAATACTCTGGGAGGCTAAGGTAGGAGGATAGCTTGAGGTTGAAAGTTGGATACCAACCTGCGCAACATAACAAGACTTTGCCTCTACAAAAAATAAATTAGCCAGTTGTGGTGTGTGCATGTAGTTCTAGCTGCATGGGAGACTAAGGCGGGAGGATGGCTTCAGCCCAGGAATTCAAGGCTGCAGTGAGCTATGATTGCACCACTGCACCCCAGGCTGGGTGACTCAGTCTCTAAAAATAAATAAATAACTAAATCTCTAACATTATAAAATGTATGCATCTCATTCTAAAGGCCAATGTCATCCTCATAGGGAAGCTAGAAGCTTGCCTATTAAGGTCAGGAATGAGATGGAGGTTTTCTTTTCTTTCTTTTGTTTGTTTGTTTTTTGTTTTGTTTTTTCTGAGATAGAGTCTCACTCTGTCATCCAGGCTGGAGTGCAATGGTGTGATCTCGGCTCACAGGAACTTCTGCCTCCTGGGTTCAAGCGATTCTCCTGCATCAAGGCCTCCCAAGTAGCTGGGATTACAGGCACCTGCCACTATGCCCGGCTAATTTTTGCATTTTTAGTAGAGCAGGGGTTTCACCATGTTGGCCAGGCTGTTCTCAAACTCTTGACCTCAGGTGATCCACCTGCCTCCGCCTCCCAAAATGCTGGGATTACAGGCGTGAGCCACTGTGCCTGGCTGAGATGAAGGTTTTCTTTATCACCAATTATCTAGCATTGCTCTGGAGGGACTAGCAAACACAATTAAACAGGAGAAAGAAATACGAACTATATAATTTGGAAAAGAAGGTTAAATTACCAATATTTGGAGATAAAATGATTGTTTACTTTGTTTTAGAACTAACTGAAAACCAATTCAAATTACTAAGTAAGTTTGGTAAGGCAATTAATTGATTACAAAATTAAACAAAAGTCCCCTGTCTGGGTGCCGTGGCTCATGCCTGTAATCCCAGCACTTTGGGAGGCCGAGGCGGGTGGTTCACCTGAGGTTAGGAGTTTGAGACCAGCCTGGCCAACGTGGTGAAAACCCACCTCTACTAAAAATACAAAAAATTAGCCGGGCGTGGTGGTGGGTGCCTGTAATTCCAGCTACTCTGGAGGCTGAGGCAGGAGAGTGGCGTGAACCTGGGAGATGGAGGTTGCTGTGAGCCGAGATCGCACCATTGCACTCCCACCTGGGCAACAAGAGTGAAACTCCATTTCAAAAAAATAAAGTGAAAACACAAATCAATAACCTTCACATAAACAACTAGTTAGAAAACATAATAAAAGGATAAGTCCCATTTATGATAGCAGCAAAAAAGATTAAATATCTACGAGTAAACAAGAATTGTGCAAGCCCTGGACACTGGTGAAGCAGAGATGCCAGCTGAGGTCCTGCCCCCAGCTCCCCTTAAGCTGAGCAGTGTGGAGAACATCTTGCACAGGCTGCTGACTGCCTTCCAAGAAGCCCTTGACCTTTACCATGTGTTGGTCTCCCTTGACCGGGTGGGCACTGAGCAGTAGCAGGTGTAGACTGAGCTGGCCTCTAACTTCCTTTGGATCCACAGCCAGTTGTAGGCCAACAACGGGGTGGAGGGGTCTGATGTGGCTCCAGGCCCTCTCCAGCTCAGGTTACCCCTCCTTATGTACATTGTACTCAGAGCTGCTAGTGCAGGCTGTGCAGAGGAAGGCAGGGGACACTGAGGTCCAGCAGTCCCTGCTCCTGCTTCTGAAGAAATAGATATTTTAAGTGAATAAACTGACAGCTTAGAGGGGTAAAAAAGATAATATGCAAGATCTATTGAGAATTTTAAGGCTGGGTGTGGTGGCTCACACTTGTAATCTCACCTATTTGGGAGGCCGAGGTGGGAGGATCCTTTGAGCCCAGGGGTTCTAGACCATCCTGGGCAACATGGTTGAAACTCCATCTCTACAAAAAATACAAAACTTAGCCAGGCGTGGTGGTGCATGCCTGTAGCCCCAGCTGCTTGGGAGGCTGAGTCAGGAGGATCACTTGAGCCAAGGACTTTGGGGCTGCAGTGAACTGTGGTTGTGCCCTCTATCCAGGGTGACAGTCAGACCTTGTCTCTATTTAAAAAAAAAAAAAAAAAAAATTAAAATATGCTATCATTTGTGTCAAGTAGAAAAGTATATATATGACATGTATAGACTTTCTGGAAGGATGTACATGAAATTAATAGTAGTGCTTTCCAATCAGGCACGGTGGCTCACACCTGTAATCTCAACATTTTTGGAGGTGGAGACAGGAGGACTGCTTGAGCCTAGGAGTTCATAGCCAGCCTGGGCAACATAGCAAGACCCCATCTCAAGAAAAAGTAGTGCTTTCCTCTAAAGAGGGGAACCATGGGGCACAGTGGGGAGAAAACCTACTTTTCACAGTATCTGTTGTGAATTTTATATCTTATTCATGTGTTACCTGGCCAAAGATTAATAAATAGATTGTTTTTGTTTTTGTTTTTTAGTTTGAGGATACTGGAAATGCTTAATATAAATATCTACATCGTCCAGAAATTTCAATGTTTACTCTATTTTGGAATTTCAAAGTGGGAGAGGAATCATCTTTTTGGATGGTACCTGAAACTGAAAGTTTATGCCTAAAGGCGTGCTTGCTTTCTCCTCAGTTACCTCAGGCATCTTCTACAGTTGCAATCTCTTTGTTGTTAGATGGTGGATTTTGCCTCCCCAGAATTAAAATAGCATTTTCTTCATTATAAAAATACTTAACATTCATTGTTTTTTTAAAAAAGACATTATATAAGATTATAAAGAAGAAAAATGACCAGATTCCCACCACCTAAAGATAAGTCCTGTCATCCTTTCAGGAATTAATATATCAATTTCTCATCTACTCTTCTCTCACACTACTTTGCATAAATGGGATCATAAATGGGATCCTATATTTTTTCAAGCAACAGTGTGTTATGCCTATACTCCATGTTTATATGTGTGTATTAAAAAATGTATTTGTATATATGTGTATGTATAAGTGTGTGTGTGTGTATGATGATTCTTCTCCCGCTTTGAAGGTGAAAGAAAGCACACCTTTATTTAAGCATAAACTTTGGGTTTCAGATACTGTCTGGAAAAATGATTTATCTCCCACTTTGAAATTCCAAAATACGTACATATATTTTTTTTTTCTTTTCTTTTTTAGTTTTAGGGTCTTGCTGTGTTGCCCAGGCTGGAGTGCAGTAGTGTGATCATAGCTCACACAGCCTCTAACTCCCAGGCTCAAGCTATCTTCCTGCCCCAGCCTCCTGAGTAGCTGGGACTGCAGGCATGTGCCATCAACTTTAGCTAATTTTAAAATTTTTTTGTAGTGATAGAGTCTCACTGTGTTGCCCAGGCTCGTCTGGAATTCCTGGCCTCAAGTGATCCTCTCACCTCAGCCTCCCAAATTGCTGGGATTAGAGTGTGAGCCACTGTGCCTAGCCTGCATATATCTATTTTTAATGACTGCTAAATCTCATTGTATGAAAATTTATGTCCTAGCTATAAAATTTGTTAGCACATGTTTAATTTTTTCTAATTTCAGATGTTTTAAACTAATATTTCCCAAAGTATAGTATGGCATTTTAGGTATGATATGATCTTTTTTCCTCTTCGTACTCATTTTTATAGTTATGGCCTGTGCAACTGGTTTCCCATTTATATGAATGATACAGAGCTTCCTATTAAGAAAAAGTTCAGCTTGGGAAAAAAAAAGTGAATTGTTCAACTTGAGGGAAAAAAGTGAATTAATTGGCCAGGCACCGTGGCTCATGCTTGTAATCCCAGCACTTTGGGAGGCTGAGACGGGTGGATTGCTTGAACCCAGGAGTTTTAGACCAACCTGGGCAACATGTTGAAACCCTATCTGTACAAAAAAAATTAGAAAAATTAGCTGGGCATAGTGGCACACACCTGTTGTCCCAGCTACTTAGGAGGCTGAGCTGGGAAGACCACCTGATCTCCGGAGGTAAAGACTGCAGTGAGCCGTGATTGCACCACTTTACTCCAGCCTGGGCAACAAAATGAGACCCTGGCTCAAAAACAAAAACAAAAACAAAAAAAGAGTAAATTAATTTAAAGGGAAGTATTAAATAAATAATAGCACAGTTGATATAGGTTATGGTAAAATTATAAAGGTGGGATATTAATATCTAATGTTTGGGAGCCATCACATTATTCTAAATAATGTTTTGGTGAAAATTATTGTACATCTTTTAAAATCTGTGTAATTTTTTTTCAGGGAAGTGTTTAAAACCTATAACGTTGCTGTGGACTACATTACTGTTGCACTCCTGATCTGGAATTTTGGTGTGGTGGGAATGATTTCCATTCACTGGAAAGGTCCACTTCGACTCCAGCAGGCATATCTCATTATGATTAGTGCCCTCATGGCCCTGGTGTTTATCAAGTACCTCCCTGAATGGACTGCGTGGCTCATCTTGGCTGTGATTTCAGTATATGGTAAAACCCAAGACTGATAATTTGTTTGTCACAGGAATGCCCCACTGGAGTGTTTTCTTTCCTCATCTCTTTATCTTGATTTAGAGAAAATGGTAACGTGTACATCCCATAACTCTTCAGTAAATCATTAATTAGCTATAGTAACTTTTTCATTTGAAGATTTCGGCTGGGCATGGTAGCTCATGCCTGTAATCTTAGCACTTTGGGAGGCTGAGGCGGGCAGATCACCTAAGCCCAGAGTTCAAGACCAGCCTGGGCAACATGGCAAAACCTCGTATCTACAGAAAATACAAAAATTAGCCGGGCATGGTGGTGCACACCTGTAGTTCCAGCTACTTAGGAGGCTGAGGTGGGAGGATCGATTGAGCCCAGGAGGTCAAGGCTGCAGTGAGCCATGATTGCATCACTGTATTCCAGCCTGGGTGATAGAACAAGACCTTGTCTCAAAAAAAATTTGGTTTTTCAAGCTTTTTGAGGTTTTGACAAGCTGGCCAATATGGTGAAACCCCGTCTCTACTAAAAATACAAAAATTAGCTGGGTGTGGTGGCGTACCCTTGTATTCCCAGCTACTTGAGAGGCTGAGGCAGGAGAATTATTTGAACCCAGGAAGTGAAGTGGAGGTTGCAGTGAGCCGAGATGGTGCCACTGCACTCTAGCCTGGGTGACAGAGCGAGACTCTGTCTCAAAAAAAAAAAAAAAGCAAAAAAAAAAAAGCACAAGCAGAGTGGTAGACACACAAAATGCTCAATTCATTTTTTAAACGATTTTTTTCCTTTATATCTTACTGCAGAAGCTTTTTTCTTTTTTTTGAGACAAAGTCTTGCTGTGTCACCCAGGCTGGGGTGCAGTGGCACAGTCATAGCTCACTGCAACCTTGAACTCCCTGGCTCATGCGATCCTCCCACTTCAGCCTCTCAAGTAGCTAGAACTACAGGTGTGCACCACCATGCCTGACTAACTTGTTTATTTTTTGTAGAGAGAACGTCTTGCTATATTGCCTAGGCTGGTCTTGAACTCTTGGGCTCAAGCAATCCTCCTACCTTGGCCTCTCAAGGTATTGGGATTATAGGTGTGAGCCACTGCATCTGGCCTCAATTCACTTTTAAAATCAAAATTAGGTTACCTACTTTTTATAAGGTAATGTATAGAATTATTCTTTTAAAAATAAAACCGATTTGGACAGTGTGAGATTCACATTCTGTAACCACCAGTGTGACATGGGTCCTGAACAGTTAGAACATACTCCAGCCATTAACCCAGGCAGCTTTCAGGTACGTACTCTGTGGCTGTTGCCTTGTATGAAAGCCAAAAAGAGATCCATTTTCAGAGATTAATATGTGACCCCTTCTATATTATAAGGCCATGGCCATACTCTTTTTTTTTTCTTTTTGTTTTTTTCTTCCAAAGACAGGATCTCTCTCTGTCATCCACGCTAGAGTACAGTGGCATGAACGTGGCTTACTGCAGCCTCAAACCCTTGTCCTGGGCTCAAACAATCCTCCCACCTCAGCCTTCAAAGTAGATAGAACTACAGGCATGCACTACCATGCCTAATTTTTTAAAAAAAAATTTTTTTTCAGAGATGAGATCTCACTGTGTTTCCCAGGCTTGTCCGGAACTCCTGGCCTCAAGCGATCCTCCCACCTTGGCCTGCCAAAGTGTTGGGATTACAGGCATGAGCCACCATGCCTGGCCATACACTTTTTTTTTTTTTTTTTTTCAAGACGGAGTCTGGCTCTGTCGCCCAGACTGGAGTGCAGTGGCGTGATCTTGGCTCACTGCAAGCTTCGCCTCCCAGGTTCATGCCGTTCTCCTGCCTCAGCCTCCCAAGTAGCTGGGACTACAGGCATCTGCCACCACGCCCGGCTATTTTTTTGTATTTGTAGTAGAGACGGGGTTTCACCATGTTAGCCAGGATGATCTCGATCTCCTGACCTCATGATTCACCTGCCTCGGCCTCCCAAAGTGTTGGGATTACAGGCATGAGCCACCGTGCCCGGCCTGGCCATACACTTTTGTCATTATTTACATACTTACTAAAATGTTTGGTGGCCTGTAATAGGAAACATCATCCTCATTTGATTGACGAAGAAGTCTGTGGAAATAGGATTGAACTGGTTCTGTTCTTGTATTTGAGTAATCAGTTGTGGAACTATAGAAGTCATATACTCTCTCTGACTTTCATAATTACCTTATGTTGTATAGTACTTGATGGTTTGCAAAGTAACCATCTATTCTTGCTTAGCTGTGAGTAAGAATGCCAGGTCTGGAGACAGAATGTCTGGGTTCAAATTCTACTCATCACTTTTTATTTTTATTTTTTTTGAGATAGAGTCTCGCTTTGTTGCCCAGGCTGGAGTGCAGTGGCGTGATCTCAGCTCACTACAACCTCTCCCTCCCGGGATCAAGCGATTCTCCTGCCTCAGCCTTCCGAGTAGCTGGGACTACAAGTGCGCACCACCACGCCCAGCTAATTTTTGTATTTTTAGTAGAGACGAGGTTTTGCCATGTTGGCCAGGCTGGTCTCAAACTCCTGACCTCAAGTGATCTGCCTGCCTCAGCCTCCCAGAGTGCTGGGATTACAGGCTTGAACCACTGCGCCCAGCCTACTCATCACTTACTAGCTATTTGACCACACAAGTTACTCAACTCCTATGTCAGTTATGAAGATTAAATTAAATGATCCATTTAATACAATAATACACTTAGAACAATGTCTATCAGTAAATTTTTTTCTGTTTTAAGAAACAGGATCTCACTCTGTCTCCCAGGCTGGAGTGAAGTGGCACGATTATAGCTCACTGTAGCTTCAAAAGCCTGGGCTCAAGCAGTCCTCCTGTCTCAGCCTCCCGAGTAGATAAGACTACAGGCACAGGTTGGTGTTGACCTCCTAGCTTCAAGCAGCCTCCCAAAGTGCTGAGATTACAGGTGTGAGCCACTATACCCAGCCCAGTGTTATATTTTTGTATAATCCTATGAAGTATCAAGGCAGTTATTATCCCTGTTTTACTGCTAAGAAACTTGAAGTTTACAGAGGTAAATTATTTGCCTAAGCCTAAACTCTGATCTCGAATCTGAATCCCAAGTCCAATATTCTTTTCACCGTATTACAATATTTTTACCATCAACCCTCCATTCTGTCTGCACATCATACAAATGAGTATCTCTACAGAGCTTTGAGTTGCTTTTAAACAAAAGAGATTTTTGTACCCAATGTTTAGAGTAGTGATTCTCGGCTCCATTTTTACAAGATTTCAAGATTTAATTTGTCAAAAAAGTTCTGAAATTTTCAAAGCAAAAGCAATTTTAATTTAATTGCTCTAAAAAATAAGCAGATTTATCATTTAGCAATTCTTTAAGGGAGAGTGTATCATAAAACTGAAATAGTACTGAATGTGGCAGAATCAAACAAGTTGAAAATCTCATCACTTCAGAGCAGGGCAGACTTCTCATTCAAACAAATTGAGGTAGAAGTGGTGAGAGTAGAGATTTCTTTGTGTATGTGTGTTTTATTACTGTACTATATTATATTATAGTTCTATATATACTATATTATATTGTACATATATATTATTATATGAAGAGACATGACCACTTTGAGGCATGAAATTTTTTTTTTTTTTTTTTTTTTTTTGAGGCACGGTCTTACTTTGTCACCTAGGCAGTGGCGCCATCTTGGCTCACTGCAGCCTCCACCTCCAGGGCTCAAGCAATCCTCCCACCTCAGCTTCCTGAGTAGCTGGGACTATAGGCACCTGCCACCATGAGCTGCTAATTTTTTGTATTTTTGGTAGAGACGGGGTTTTGCCATCTTGGCCAGGCTGGTCTCAAACTCCTGAGCACAAGTGATCTGCTGCCTCAGCCTCCCCAAAGTGCTGGAATTACAAGCATAAGCCACTGTGCCTGGCAAGACATGAAATTTTTAAATGTAAATGCATTTAAGTGACAATAATGTGAATACAAGTTATCAATTCTTCCTTTACAAGTTTAGCTATACCTGTTTTATATTTTTCAGTGTTTAAAATTATTTTTATATTTTTATATTCTGAATTTTCTTTCTTTCTTTCTTTTTTTTTTTTTTTTTTGAGACGGAGTCTCGCTGTATTGCCCAGGCTGGAGTGCAGTGGCGCAATCTCGGCGCACTGCAAGCTCCGCTTCCCGGGTTCACGCCGTTCTCCTGCCTCAGCCTCCCGAGTAGCTGGGACTACAGGCACGCGCCACCACACCCAGCTAATTTTTTGTATTTTTTAGTAGAGACAGGGTTTCACCGTGTTAGCCAGGATGGTCTTGATCTCCTGACCTTGTGATCCGCCCACCTCGGCCTCCCAAAGTGCTGGGATTGCAGGCGTGAGCCACTGCGCCCGGCCTATATGCTGAATTTTCATGACAGAGAATGAAAGAAAAAGTGCAGTTGATCGAAAGAAATGGTGGTATAAACAGGAATAACAGGCATGTTGTTTCCTCTCTGATTTATTATTTTTGTAAAATAAGCTACTTTTCAGCACCACATACATATGTTCTGAGACCTGAATATTTGTGACCAAAGAGTAAAGAAGTAATAAACTTTATCTCGCAAAGAGTTATTATTGTGTTTTATTTAAATTTACTGCCCTCTTACTTCAAGTACTTCTCAGTAGTACGTAATACTGCTTTTAAAAAGGAGAAGGGATGAATTTCTTCTACTCTGCTCTTCATATTTTGAAAAGTTCAGTCAAATCCCCTTTATTAAATTCATCTCAGAGTAATCTTTTTAATTTGTAGTTCATATCCGTGATTAGTTTAGAAGTGACTTCTCCCTGTTTCTGCTCACTGTAGGTTGACAACTGCTTAAAATAGTCTATCTCATCATTATCTCTGCAGCTTTCCTTTAAACTAGGAAGACTTGTTCCTATACCCCAGTAACGATACACTGTACACTAAGCAAATAGCAGTCAAACCCAAATGAAATTTTTACAGATGTTCTGTGTCATTTTATTTTGTTTATGTTGTCTCCCCCACCCCCACCAGTTCACCTGCCATTTATTTCATATTCATTCAACGTCTTTTTGTGTAAAAAGAGACAAAAAACATTAAACTTTTTTCCTTCGTTAATTCCTCCCTACCACCCATTTACAAGTTTAGCCCATACATTTTATTAGATGTCTTTTATGTTTTTCTTTTTCTAGATTTAGTGGCTGTTTTGTGTCCGAAAGGTCCACTTCGTATGCTGGTTGAAACAGCTCAGGAGAGAAATGAAACGCTTTTTCCAGCTCTCATTTACTCCTGTAAGTATTTGAGAAGGATATTGAATTAGTAATCAGTGTAGAATTTATCGGAACTGAAGCACATGTAACTATGGTCATTTTCATGGTACTTGTTCTCATCTTAAATGCACAGCATTCCTGGAACTCCTGCAGATCTCTTTGTTTCCTTGCAAGCAATTGTCTTCTACCTGATGTTGATTCAAGAGAGTTTTCAATATGAATAGAAAGAAAGAAAATGTTTAGATATTGGGGAACCAGCATTCCCATTTTAAAACCTGTTAGGAGTTGTTGATTAGGGCAAGCTCAAGGATTCCTTTGAGTGACTGGTTTAGATGTCTTTCTGCTATTCGGTGACCACTGGGGAACTGAGATTGTTGAGCAGAAGGGTAATGTGAGCAGAGCCGTGCCTTTGTAAGCTGGCAGCACTGTGTGAGATGAATTGGTGGGTTGGATACTGAGATCATGAGAGGCATACTAAGCATAATTAAGATGATATTGCCATGATCTAGGTGGAAAGTAATGGGGGTTTGAATTATGGTAGTGGCAGTAGCAATCAAGGGAAAGAGTTGATCAGAGGATTCAGAGGTAGAATCAATAGTTCTAGCAACTGAGGAGAGAAGTTGTAAGCTTGAAGGAAAGGTGATGAAGAAAAAATGCTTTCCTGTGTTTTCTTGTTGTTGTTGTTGAGATAGGGTCTCACTCCCATCCAGGATGGAGTACAGTAGTGTGATCATGGCTCACTGCAGCCTCGACCTCCCAGGCTCAGGTGATCCACCCACCTCAGCCTCCCGAGTAGCTGTGACTACAGGCACGCACTACCAGGCCTGGCTAATTTTTTTGTGTTGTGTGTAGAGACTGGGTTTTGCCATGTGCCCAGGCTGGTCTTGAACTCCTCGGCTTAAGCGATCCTCCTGCCTTGACTTCACAAAGTGCTTGAGTTACAGGTGTGAGCTACCACGCCTGGCCATGTTTTCTTGTGTGAAGGATCTGTTTAGTTTTATATCTTTCTGTGGCTCATATCTAATTTAGTTGACAGTACCTGTGGGTCACTAGGTAGACATTGCTAGCAGACGTTTAGAAATGAAATACTAGAGCTTGGGAAAAAGTTGATATTTGAGATAGAGACTTGAAGAACATTAGCAGAGAGTTGGTAGTTAAGGTCTGTGAGCTGGTGAGCAATTCAAATAAAAGCAGAAGAGAAGAGGAAGACAAGGGTCAAACTTTGTCAACTACTGTGTTTAGAGAATGAGACAAGAGAGGATACTACAGGAAGTAGAGGAAAATAGTGGAAAATTGGGCAAGCCAGTATTTTTCACTTAAGAATATCATTACTGTTTTTTGATGTCAGCACATGAAATGGCTGCATAGTGTTCTCTTACGTAGATATTCAGTGGTGGGTATCCTCATTGATAGACATTTAGATCATTTCCATTTATTTTCTATCACAGACAGCACTTACAGAGTGCATCCATGAACTTATGAATATTATTATAAAATGTATTCTTACAGTAGAATTGCTAAGTCAAAGGATGTATTTAAATTTTGATAGTTTGCCATATTGCCTCCTAAAAAAGCTGTGCCTGTTTACATTCCCTTCAGTAATATGAAAGTATCAATTTCCTTACCCCTTTGGTGTTTTGGTTTGTTTTGTTTTGGAGACTGAGTCTCGCTCTGTCATGCAGGCTGGAGTGCAGTGGTGCGATCTCGGCTCACTGCAACCTCCGCCTCCTGGGTTCAAGCAGTTCTCCTGCCTCAGCCTCCGGAGTGGCTGGGATTACAGGCGTGTGCCACCACACCCAGCTAATTTTTTGTATTTTTAGTGGAGACACGGTTTCACCATGTTGACCAGGCTGGTCTCGAACTCCTGACTTCAGGTGATCCGCCTGCCTAGGCCTCCCAAAATGCCAGGATTATAGCTGTGAGCCACCATGCCCGGCCACTGCTTTGTTAATGCTTGCCTGTGTCTGTGCATACATGCATGTGTGTGTGTCTGAGAGAGAAAGAGATCTAATAGGCAAAAAAATAACATCTTGTTTTATTTTTTATTGTTTGTCTAATGCTTTGGGTGATTATTTGAACTTTTTTTCATGTGTTTCTTAGTTACAGATCTGAATTTATTTTGTAACTGGCTTGGTATAATCTTTTTCATATTTGTGAAATTAATCTTTTTTGTGTGTGTGTGAGACAGTCTCTCTCTGTCACCCAAGCTGGAGTACAGTGGCGCAATCTCAACTCACTGCAACCTCCATCTCCCAGGTTCAAGCAATTCTCCTCTCTCAGCCTCCCAAGTAGCTGGAATTACAGGCGCATGCCACCACGCCTGGCTGATTTTTGTATTTTTAGTAGAGACGGGATTTCACCACGTTGGCCAGGCTGGTCTCAAGTGATCCAACTGCCTCAGACTCCCAAAGCATTAGTATTACAGGTGTGAGCCACTGCTCCCAGCCCTGTAAAATTAATCTTAATTATACAAGTAATTCATTATCCTTGAAAAAGGATAAACATTACAGATAAAAATAAATTTCACGGTAACTATCATCTCTAATCTTAATGCCTTATCAAGTACTTACCCCTGTTGTCAGTTTGTTGTATATCCTTGTAGATTTTTTTTGCCAATTTTTCTGTTGAGTTACTGGAAAAGCAGTTTCAAGAAGGAGAGAGGCTGGGCGTGGTGGCTAACACCTGTAATCCCAGCACTTTGGGAGGCCTAGGTGGGCGGATCACTTGAGGTCAGGAGTTTGAAACCAGCCTGGCCAACATGGTGAAACTCTGTCTTTACTAAAAATATAAAAATCAGCTGGGTGTGGTGGTGCACACTTGTAATCCCAGTTACTTGGGAGGCTGAGGTGGGAGGATCACTTGAACCCAGGAGGCGGAGGTTACAGTGAGCCATGATCGTGCCACTGCACTCCAGCCTGAGTGACAGCAAGGCTTCATCCCCACCCTCCCAAAAAAAGAGAATATCTTTTTGTTTGTTTGTTTGTTTGTTTGTTTGTTTGTGGCAGAGTCTTGCTGTGTCGCCCAGGCTGGAGTTCAGTGGGGCGATCTCGGCTCACTGCAAGCTCCGCCTCCTGGGTTCAGCCATTCTCCTGCCTCAGCCTCCCCAGCAGCTGGGACTACAGGCACACGCCGCCACGCCCGGCTAATTTTTGTATTTTTAGTAGCAACGGGGTTTCACCATGTTAGCCAGGATGGTCTCGATCTCCTGACCTTGTGATCCGCCCGCCTCGGCCTCCCAAAGTGCTGGGATTACAGGCGTGAGCCACCGCGCCTGGCCGAGAATATCATTTTTTATAAAGAAGTCAAAGGTAATGAGGACTAAGTAAAACCATACAGTATTTGCTGTCTAAGATGTCATTAGTGACATTGAAGAGAGCAGTTTCAGTAGAGTGATAGAACCAGAAGCAGTACTCCAAAGGGAAGGTGCGTATGTGTGCATGCATGTCTCTGTGTTTTGCCAGTGCTGGCAGTGGAAGTGATGGTGTAGGCAGAGAATGGGTGGTGAAGAAGGAGAGGTATAGTAAATGTCATGTACTACATCAAAGATTCCTGTCTCACAGGCAGAGCAGGTGGTGACCTGACAGGAGAACAGGTTTCAGGAAAGGTGTTTCAAGGAGAGGGAAGGTTCCATTTTATTTTATTTATTTATTTTTTTTGAAACAGAGTCTTGCTCTGTTGCTCGGGCTAGAGTGCAGTGGTGTGATCTTGGCTCACTGCAACCCCCGCCTCCCAAGTTCAAGCAATGGTCCTGTCTCAGCCTCCGGAGTAGCTGGGATTATAGGCACCCACCACCACATCCGGCTAATGTTTGTATTTTTAGTAGAGTTGGGGTTTCGCCACATTGGCCAGGCTGGCCTTGAACTCCCCACCTCAAGTGATCCACCTGCCTCGGCCTCCCAAAGTGCTGGGATTACAGACGTGAGCCACTGCACCCGACCTGTTTTATTTTATTTTTGAGGTAAGTCTTGCTCTGTTGCCCAGGCTGGAGTGCAGTGGCGCAATCTCAGCTCACTGCAACCTCCATCTCCTGGGTTCAGGCAATTCTCCTGCCTCAGCCTCCCGAGTAGTTGAGATTACAAGCATGCGCCACTATACCTGGCTAATTTTTTTTTTCCATATTTTTAGTTGAGCCACAGGTTGGGAGAAGGGAAAATACATTCTACTCAAAGTGAGTCCGTGGCAAAAGTGTGAGTACAGAGATGGGTGAGGAATTAGGACCAGACTTTCAGTCTGCAGCAACATTAAACATGTATGTTAATTTAATACTCAGAAAGAAGCATTTACTCTGTTTTAAAATATCTATCACATACTATATATATATATATATATATATATATATATATATATATATATATTTTTTTTTTTTTTTTTTTTTTTTTTTTTTGAGACAGTCTTGCTCTGTCACCCAGGCTGGAGTGCAGTAGCGTGATCTCGACTCACTGCAAGCTCCACCTCCCGGGTTCACGCCATTCTCCTGCCTCAGCCTCCCGAGTAGCTGGGACTCTAGGCGCCCGCCACCATGCCTGGCTAATTTTTTGTATTTTTAGTAGAGACGGGGTTTCACCGTGTTAGCCAGGATTGTCTCGATCTCTTGACCTCGTAATCTGCCCTCCTCGGCCTCCCAAAGTGCTGGGATTACAGGCGTGAGCCACCGTGCCCAGCCTATCATATATAATATTTTTAAAACTCAACGTCTGTGCTCGCTTTAGCAGCACATAATAGTAAAATTGGAATGATACAGATGATTTGCATGTATTTTTTTAAAAGTTCTCAAGTCTATTTAATAACCACAGAATATGAGACATTCTGAGATGTTTTAGAAACAGTTCAACATATGTGGGAAAATAGGAGTATAAACCCTTACCTCCTGTGTAGATCAGGTAGGTTCAAGATTGCATCTGTTCTTTTGTAATACTAAATGTCTGGTGAAGATTTGAGGATTTTATATAAATCATTGAGTTTGAGAGGTTTTTTTGTTTTTGTTTTTGAGATGGAGTTTCACTCTTGTTGCCCAGGCTGAAGTGCAATGGCACAATCTCGGCTCACTGCAACCTCCGCCTCCCAGGTTCAAGCGATTCTCCTGCCTCGGCCTCCTGAGTAGCTGGGATTACAGACGCCTGCCACCACGCCCAGCTAATTTTTTGTATTTTTGTATTTTTAGTAGAGAGAGGGTTTCACCATGTTGGCCAGGCTGGTCTCAAACTTGTGACCTCAGGTGATCTACCCGCCTCACCCTCCCAAAGTGCTGGGATTACAGGCATGAGCCACCGCACCTGGCCTTCGTTTTGTTTTTTCAACAGAATGTAAGAATTTTTTCTTACATTTTTCTTACATTTTTAACAGAATGTAAGAAAACCACAACGCAATGCCGATGAGTACTTTTTCCCTGAAGTGGATATAAGCATGAATATAAAAAGTTTTAAATCAGTCATCCTGGCTATTTGTTCTCTAAAAATCAATAAATAATTCTTTCATGCATTTTAATACTGTCTCCCAGTTAAGGGTATTCAGTTTGCAAAATGCTCTTACTGACAGGAAATGTATGAGCATTTTTGTTTTTTACTTCTGTCGTTTGACAGAAAAAATATACACCTACTCTTTGAGCTAATTTATTCTTACCTAGTGGTCATTAGTAGAAGTGGTTCACTCTGGGAGCTTAACTAGAAGGGAAACTAACAATTCCTTGAGGTAGATCATTTTATCTAAAGCTTTTTGATTTCATATCAGTTGGGGGCGGGTATATTATGTTAATTTTTAAATCTGCATATTTTCCAGCCAGGCATGACTATAATCCCAGGACTTTGGGAGGTAGAAGCAGGAGGATTGCTTGAGCCCAGGAATTCAAGACCACCCTAGACTACATTAAAAAACATATTTTTTTGTATTTATTTTTTATTTTATTTTTTTGAGACAGAGTTTCGCTCTCATTGCCCAGGCTGGAGTGCAATGGCACGATCTCGGCTCACCACAGCCTCCGCCTCCTGGATTCAAGCAATTCTCCTGCCTCAGCCTCCCGAGTCGCCGGGATTATAGACATGCACCACCACACCGGGCTAATTTTGTATTTTTAGTAGAGACAGGGTTTCTCCATGTTGGTCAGGCTGGTCTTGAACTCCTGACCTCAGGTGATCCACCCACCTCCGACTCCCAAAGTGCTGGGATTACAGGTGTGAGCCACCATGCCTGGCCTTTTTTTTTTTTTTTAATTTAAACGAAATCTGCTTATTTTCCTGTTGATGTAAGGTGTTTGTGTTAAGGTGAAATGAAAAGTGATTTTTAAAAAAATATTATTTTAGGACTATTTAACAAATATACTATTTATGATAATTAACATGGGGTTAGCAAACTACTGCTTGAAGCCAAATATGGCCCATGGCTTGTTTTTGTACAGCTTATAAGCTAAAAATGCTTTTTACATTTAAAAAAAAAAAAAAAGAACAAGGAAGAATATGTGACACACAAAACCTGAAATGTTTACTCCCTGGCCATTTACAGAAAAAGTTAGCTGGACATTGATTTTCATGTTACTATTAACTGCTAAAACAAAGGAGCTTGTAGCTATATTTTTTCATACTTGCATAAAGAAAGAAAACCTAATAAATCGCTGGTGGCTTCATTTCCAAAAGGCTATGGAAATCCATAAACAGGCTGGGTGCAGTGGCTCATGCCTGTAATCCTAGCACTTTGGGAGGCTGAGGCGGGAGGATTGCTTGAGCCCAGGAGTTTGAGTCTGGCCTGGGCAACGTAGTGAGACCCTGTTTTTAGAAAAAATGAAGATAAAAAACTAATCCATAAACCTCATACTTGGTGGTTGCCCTTCAGTTTTTCTTCTTTAGATCTGGATTTAGTTAAACAGTGTATTGCCTGCCTGGTTTCTGTTAACTTTTGATCATTTGGTTGGGTTATCCTATAATGAAACTTGGTTGACCTCAGAAATAACAAGGTGGTCGTTCAGCTTCTTTGATTGTGTGTTTCTTTCATAAGTTCTTCAAGAAGCCTGAGTATTAGAAACATGGATAAAATTATTGTGATAAAAAGCCAGAGAGACATAAATGTCAAGTATCTTGTTTAAAATTACTGTGACCAGGCCGGGCGTGGTGGCTCACGCCTGTAATCCCAGCACTTTGGGAGGCTGAGGCGGGCGGATCACGAGGTCAGGAGATCGAGACCATCCTGGCTAACACAGTGAAACCCCACCTCTACTAAAAAAAATACAAAAAATTAGCCAGGCATGGTGGCGGGCGCCTGTAGTCCCAGCTACTCGGGAGGCTGAGGCAGGAGAATGGCGTGAACCCAGGAGACGGAGCTTGCAGTGAGCCGAGATCATGCCACTGTACTCCAGCCTGGGTGACAGAGCAAGACTCTGTCTCAAAAAAAAAAAAAAAAAAAAAAATTACTGTGACCAGATTGGACTCAGCTTGCTGCTGGCATTTGGTTCCCACCATAACCTCATATGTCATGTGTTTGCTTATATGTACTTTTGTGTTATTGTTGGTGTATCTTCAGGATAAGTTCCAAAATGTAATATTGCTGGGTTAAAGGATTAATGCACATGTAGTTTTATTAGATGTTACCAAATTTCCCTCCAGTGGGGATTATACCATTTTTCATTCCTGCCTGAAATATATGAGAGAAGCACCATTTTAAAGTTTTCACAATGTCTCTGAACTAAAATGTGGTAGAGATGCACATGTGTATATCTAGATCTAGATTGATATATTGATATACATGTATTTTTGTAGAAGGGGCACAGAGGAGGCCTCTTGACTATCCCTATTATGTTTATTGCTTTTAACGTTTTTTCTCACGCCGGGTTTAAAACATGGTTTAGCATTATTGAACATTCTAAAAATGAGACATAATATGAAGGAAATTTACTCTGTGCATCTTTTGAATTATAATCACCATCTGAGGCTTTTGTGAGCTCCAGTTTGTCCTGGAATTTAGAACATTCAACTAGTCCAGCTATTGTTTCAGTGGAATCTTGCTGGCCTGAACAGTTTTCCTTCTGGTTCCTTTTCAGGGACTAAAAATGATGAAGAGTTTTGTGATAGCAGGTGCAGTTTGAGTACTACAGTAAACATTCAGTTTCAGAACTTCTTCTCTTACCTGCTAAAACCAAAGAGAACCTTTTTTTTATTTTTACTTCTGATTGTTGAACAGTCTTAAGGCAGCATTAGGAAGACTGGCGATTTGTGTGGAGAAATGATGGCTTGTTGTTGTCTATGCATACTTTGTGTGTCCAGTGCTTACCTGGAATTTTGTCTTTCCCAACAGCAACAATGGTGTGGTTGGTGAATATGGCAGAAGGAGACCCGGAAGCTCAAAGGAGAGTATCCAAAAATTCCAAGTATAATGCAGAAAGTAGGTAACTTTTATTAGATAATATCTTGATTTTTCAGGGTCACTGTTATAAGCTAACAGTATAGCAATGTTTTTATCGTCTTTCTTTGGTCATAGACTCCTTTGAGAATCTCTTGAGAACTATGATAATGCCCAGTAAATACACAGATAAGTATTTAAGGAGTTCAGATACTCAAAACCCAACAATACAGTCAAAGCATCCTAGGTTAAGACACCTCCCATTAAATACAGAATACCAGCATGGAAAGGTTCAGGCTGAGGTTATGATTTTGTTTTTGTTTTTTGTTTGTTTTTTATAAGTCATGATTTTAAAAAGAAAAAATAAACTCTCTCCAAACATGTAAAAGTAAGAATCTCCTAAAAGAAACAAAAAAGAAACAGACAATAAAGGAAAAATAAGTAAACAAAAAAAGCAAAATATAAACAACATAAAAATGAGAACCTCTTGTCTAACATGGCCAGAATAACTGAAATATGATTTGAGATGTGCTGATGTGTATACTGAGAAGATCAAATATTCTAGGTGGATATGACTTTTTAGAAGAGGATAAGAATGACTTAGGATGAGCTGGGTGCAGTGATGTGTGCCTGTAGTCCCAGCTACATGGCCAAGGCAAGAGGATCACTTGAGCTAAGGAGTTCCGGATTACCCTGGGCAACTTATACCTTACCTCAAAAATAATAATAATAATGAATAATAATAATGACTTAGGATAAGAGAGTGAAAGGCCCTCTAAGGATACTACAGAACATATTAAGGAGAACACAAGTTAGAAGTTGTTATTAGATGGAGTTGAGGGGGAGCTTTCATTCAGTTTTCTGGAATGGAGGCTACCTTCCCACACACACTAAAAAAAAAAAGAAAGGGTTGAGGAATAACAGCACAATATAAATAGTCTAAAAAAAGGGCTAACTTTTATGAGGAATCTGAAAAACAACAGGCACAGTAAATATTGGTGAGGAAAAAAAGGCCTTAATTGAGTTGCTGTTTGTCAGGAAAGGGAGAGTTTATGTTTTATAAAGCCAGGAAATCTACAGAGTTAGCATTTAGGCAACTGCAAGGAAGATACTTTCAACCAGGAATTCCTATTTGGAACTCAGAGATGTGAGTCTTTATTATACAGTAAGCAAGGCAGCAGAACAAGGTCATGTTAGACTCTCACGGGATCCTTAGGGTGTGACTTTGCTAGCCAGAAACCTCTGTGGCTGGTGGCACCTTTTCCTGAGATTTGCTCAGGCCCACTGGGCTCATTCCACCTACTCAGCCTAGCTGGCTATGCTTGGCTTTCTCTACCAGCTGGACCCCATGCCTGCCAAAGGCAAGCCAGGCATGGAGCAGCGAGGAGTGCATGAGCAAGTGAGTGCAGGGTCCAGCCACTGCACACAGCCAGGCATGCTGGCTGCAGCAGGGCAGGCAGCCTCAGGTACTAGCTCCCTGCTGCAGCTAGACCAGGCATTACCTAAGCAGCTTTGACTACAGGCCACTACCACTAGTAAACCTGATAGAAAAGTAAGAAATATACTGGAAAGAATTGCCACAAGCCTGGCTCTTGTGTTAACCTTGTGTTAACCTGGGGAACACAGGGGCACCCAGAAGCTTGGAGATGCCAGGAACTGCAGAACCCCAAAGAGGGGGGTCATAGCCCTGGCTTAGGGAACTCCTGAGTCTGGACTCCCCGAAGGGCCACATCTCTTCACTCCTCTCTTCTCTCCTTCTCGCCACCTGCAACGTGGCAAGTGGGGGGCACGTTTCAGCCCTGTTTGTCTTACGGTTCTTTCAATCCTGCCATTCAATGGGTCCCAAGTTCTTGTCCTGCATCCAGGAAGAATGAAGTACGTGGACAGCTGGAGGGAGAGCAAGATGAAAAGGTGCTTTATTGAGCAACAGTACAGCTCTCAGGAGACCCTATCTGCAGGCAGGTCGTCCCATTGTCTCTGCAGCTCTCAGTGGAGAGGAGACCTGGAGTGGGTAGCTCCTGTCTGCAGGCAGGTCATCCTGATGTCTGTAATCCTCAGTGGAGAGGAGACCCGGAATGGGTATCTCCTATCCACAAGCAGGTCATCCCATCATCTCTGCAGCCCTCAGTGGAGAGGAGACCCGGAGTGGGTAGCTTCTTTCTGCAGGCAGGTTGTCCCTTCATCTGCCCAAGTCTGACTGAGTCTGGGGTTTTTATGGGCTTCAGAGGGGAGGAAGTACATGCTGATGGGTCCATGGGTGGCCATGAGCAGGCCCAGAAAATGCACCATAAGTTCTCACTGTGGTCTGTGGAACTGGGAGCTTGGCCTCCAGGCTTCAGGCTTTCCCTGACTTGAGGTGGTGCTTCACCAGGGAACTTCCCCTTTCCGCCTAGGAGCCTGTCTGCCTCCTGCTGCCATCAACCTGCTGTCTATAGCTCCCATGGCACCCAGGCTGTTCATGCCAAAGGGTGCCTGCAGGCCCACGGTAAGCTGCCTTCAGCCCCTCCTCAGTCTCCCTCCCATGCTTGTCAGCACCCAAAGTCCAGAGGGGGCCAAGGTGGCAGGGGGCTGGCATGTCAGTGCTGCCCCAAGCGCCCGCACACCCGGCCAGGTCATGACAGCACCCAGCCTCAGCCACAACTTTGCTCTGAAATCGGAGCCTGCAGACGCAAGGGGCTTCCTGGACCCCTGAGAGCACAGGGATGCCCAGGTCTACAGCCACAGCTGGGAAGCTGCAGCTGTGGGAGTGCGGGACTTCTGCCCCACCAACTCAGAAGGGGGCAGGACTCCCGCCTGTTCCTGGCTCCTGCCAGCTCACAGAGCATGCTGCCCCAGCTGCACCTCCCCTGCTGCAGCTGCCATCTTTGCAGCAGCCACTCCAGATGGGCCGCTGCTGCCATCAAGACCACTAGTAAACCTGATAGAAAAGTAAGAAATATACTGGAAAGAATTGCCACAAGCCTGGCTCTTGTGTTAACCTGTGTTAAGCTAAAGAAAATCAAATGATTGTCTGTGAGCATGTAGGTATATATGTATGTGAGTGAGTGATACAACAGAATTTCATTCATTTTACAGATGTTGACTGAGCACCTGACTATGTGCTAGGCCCTGGGGATATAGCACTGAACAAGATTTCCCCTGCCCTTGTGGAGCTTATAGTCTATTTGGAGAGATAGATGGTCAACAAATTATTACATAAATAATTCATACAGTTGTGATAGGTACTACAAAGAAGACGTATAAGTTGCTATGAAAGTTTATAATAGGGGAATTTTACGTATCCTGGAAAGTCAAGGGGTGCTTCCCTGAGGAAGTGGTAATAGGGGACGGCCCGCTGAAGGATGGAGGAAGAGCTTTCCAAGAGAGGGACAACATGAGCAAGGGCTTTGAAATGAGAAGGCTGGATGAACTGCAGGCTTCCTCAGTGAGAATGCTGCTGGTATTTTGGGGGGCACAGTTCTTTGTGGGACTTTCCCTCATATTGCAAGATATTTAACATCCCTGGCCCCTCACCCACTAAATGCCAATAATGGCTTTAAGGCTTTGCAATAATCAAAAACTCCTCCATCCTAGTTATTTCCAAACACTCCCCGGAAGGGAGGTGCTATCCCTAGTTGAAAAATCACTGTGTTAACGGAACTAGAAGTTACATTGGAACAAAAGGGCATAGGGCTCCAAGAGGGATATCTGTGTAAGGAAAAAACAAACAAAAGAACTGAGAGATTACCTGATGTGGTTGAGCTCTGTCAGAGCATTTCAGGATAAATTAGTCATAGATAATAATATAAAATTCATCAGTGGAAAAAAATGAGGCAGTTTTCCAAAGAAAACAAAAACTTGCTCAAAAAAGCAAATGTAATTATAGTATATTCTGGCTATAGCAAAGTAGTTTAGTTGTGAATATTATTTGCATAGTGAGAATATAAAGCTGAATTTAATATAAGGTTATGGCACTGGGAAGACAGGAAGAGTTACATTTGCGTGCACTAAAGGATGAGACCTAATGCTTTATCTTCTCTATAGGAGGTGAATAAGTACCTCAAATTAAAACATCAAGTTATGGCACAATGAGCATGCTACTTATAATTAATTATGGAGGTAAATACCAAAAGGGATGGCTAAAAGAGTTTAAGGTAGGAATGAGTATCAGAAGTGAGGAGGGAGGGGGTAGAAAAGGGACTGCTGTTTTCATTTATAAATCTTATTCTTATATTATTTCATAAACTCCAAACCAGAGAAGATTCAGGTTTTTGGAGATCTGGATAATAAAAAGAATACAAAACTATCAATACAAAATTGTGAGGGCTCTCCCAGAGGAAGCCATGCAAGGAAGGGCCCTGAAGCTTACAAGCTTTACTTATTCATGGCAAATCTACTTCTGCTCTGAACATGTATTACTTTTATAAAAAATGAAGGAAGAATAAAAGTACTTTGAACTTCACTTATATATTTTAATTATTTTTAATGTATGGAAGTTTTTTAAGACTATCATGCTCACCATTTTCAATGAGATTGATAGTCATTATAATGAAATGACTGGCCCATAAAGACATTCACTCCCCGCTCCTTTCCCAATCCACCCTCCAGAATGAAGCCACTTTTATAATTTTGTCACCAAATCCAGGGATGAGTGCCAACAGTTAGGAAGCTTTCAGTTGCAAAAGATAAAAAGCCCAACTCAGTTGCCTTAAACAAAGAAGAAATTTATTCTTTCACGTGACAGGAAGGCCTGAGGTGTAGGCATTTGAAATTTGTAGGGTTGGTTAATTTGGTGGCTCAGGGATGTTTTCAAGTAGCCCAACTTCCTACTCTACCATCACTAGTTTATAGGCTTGGTCTTCAGCCCACTGCTCTTCGTGGTCATGACAGCTGTAGTTCTAGGCATCATGTCTAGATAAGGCAACATTCAGGGGTAGAAGGGGACTGTTTATTTTTTCCTTTAGTCTCTCTTAAAGAGTGAGAAAAATTTTCCCAGGAATCCCGGTGGACTTTGCTTCACCACTCATAGGTTCATACCAAGTTACAACCCCACAACCTTAGAGCTTTTGTTAGGAAGAGGCTTGGTGGGATTACCGTGCTTGGCTTGGCTTGGTCAGGATTCACCACCAGAGTCATGTGGGAGGGGGTGGGAACCCAAACAATTCAGGATTCTGCCCTCAGGAAATAAAGGAGAAAATAGCTGTTGGATAAACTACCAGCAGGCACTGCTACAGCCCATGCTTTGTGGTTTAAGGGCCAGCTAGTTACAATGACAGCTAGTTACTGTTTCCATGTAATTTTCTTAAAGGTATTAAATTTTTCTAAATATTAGAGCTGTAACTTCCACTTTCTCTTGAAGGCACAGAAAGGGAGTCACAAGACACTGTTGCAGAGAATGATGATGGCGGGTTCAGTGAGGAATGGGAAGCCCAGAGGGACAGTCATCTAGGGCCTCATCGCTCTACACCTGAGTCACGAGCTGCTGTCCAGGAACTTTCCAGCAGTATCCTCGCTGGTGAAGACCCAGAGGAAAGTATGTGCATTTCTCTATGTTGCAAAGTCATGGATTCCTTTAGGTAGCTACATTATCAACCTTTTTGAGAATAAAATGAATTGAGAGTGTTACAGTCTAATTCTATATCACATGTAACTTTTATTTGGATATATCAGTAATAGTGCTTTTTTTTTTTTTTTTTTTTTTTTTTTTTTTTTTTTTTTTTGAGACAGAGTCTCGCTCTGTCGCCAGGTTGGAGTGCAATGGTGCGATCTTGGCTCACTGCAAGCTCCACCTCCCGGGTTCAAGTGATTCTCCTGCCTCAGCCTCCCAAGTAGCTGGGACTACAGGCGTGCGCCACCACGCCTGGATAATTTTTGTATTTTTAGTAGAGATGGGGTTTCACCATCTTGGGCAGGCTGGTCTTGAACTCCTGACATCATGATCTGCCTGCCTTAGCCTCCCAAAGTGCTGGGATTACAGGCGTGAGCCACTGTACCTGGCCTCCCTTCAGACTTTTTAAGTTGGCATTTTACAGCCTGACCTTTTGGCATTTATTTTATAAAGTAAAAGATTTGTTTTTTTAATTGTTCCAGTAAGCCTTCATGGCCGTAATACATTTGTCTACAAAAATTTTATTAATATGTCTCACTCTGCTGTAGAGAGATCTGTGGATTTGCATGATACAACCTTGTACATTATTATTCCTTTTGTTGACAAGTGCTATATTTTATTTTAAAGAAAATCAAAGGGATTTAGGATATTGGCAGAAATGCAAGTATTTCTTCAGTGTCTAAGATGTGTTGCCACTTGATGGATTTAAGTTAACACTTAGGGCTTCTTAGGAACATTATCAGCCACTAAAGCCCTTTGGTTAGGGCTCAGTCATCTCTTCAGTTAGTCTTAGAGATGTGGTTCATTGAATAAGACTTTAGCATATTTTCCAACCAAGTTATTTTTGGTTGTCTTGTTTTTGCAAGAGTGAAACTTGATTAAAACATTACAACAAGAATATTAAGTAGTTTTAAGGAAACAAACACCTAGGTTCCTTAGCATCTTTAATCATTAGTCACTAATTATTATGACCTTGACATATCCATCAGTTTGAGGAGAACACTTTTTACACCTTGTCCTCAGTTTTTTAACTGAGTCAGAACTTTCACTGGGCATGTTCATGACTTTACTGCTTGGCTGAGTTTTCCAGATATCAAAGCCCAGCTGCAGCCTGTGACTTTCACACTCCTGGAAAAGTAGACGTATCTGCCTGCTCTTACAGCAGGCTTTAGCTTGCCTTTGCTGGGACTTTGTTCTGCCCTCAGTTACCACAGTAATTAGGTTGCCTCTTCTACTTTCCTCTTTTCTCACAGGCACCAGGAGCCAGAGGAAATAACATAATAGTTGTTGACCAGAGCAGCAGCATAATTCTTTCATGACTGCCTTTTCTAATTTGACGATTCCCTCTCCTGAGAGGGCTCTTTGTGTCCTCCTCCTCTTCGTCTCCAACTTTTAAAAAAAAAAAAGTGAAACTATCAAGTATTGCTCCTGCTAACTTCAGATCAGTATTTTCTTTCTCTGAAGCCAATGCAAAGTAATAACGGACGTGCTTCATCATCTTAGCATTCAGCACACGTGTCACCATCTCTGATGGTGTGAGCATGTTAAACCAGACTTGTGGGTACTTACCAAAAGGTTCAGTTGACACTATAGGTCAGTTGCTAAAAGGCACAAATGTCTTCTAAAGCAATCTGTTAAAAGTCAACATTTAACATTTAATTAGAAAACTGATCAAAGGATCTGAATGTTTAGTTCTCCCAAGAAAATGTAAAAATGATCTGTAAACACATAAAAAGATACTCAGCATCATTAGCCATCAAGGAAATGCAAATCAAAACCACTTCATACTCACTAGATTGGCTATAATAAAAAAGATAGACAATAACAGGTGTTGGTGAGGATGCGAAGAAACTGGAATCCTCATACACTGCTGGTGGGAATGTAAAATAGTATAGTGATTTTGGAAAACAGTTCGGTAGTTCTTTGAAAGATTAAATATGACCCGGTAATTCTACTCCTAGGTATATACTCAAGAGAATTTTAAAACATATGTCAACACAAAGACACATATACAATGGTCATAGTAATATTGTTCATAACAGGTAAAAACAGAAACAACCCACATGTCTATTAACTGATAAGTGGATAATAAATGTGGTATATTCATACAATGGAATATTACTTGGTTATAAAAAGAAACAATCTATCATTAGTACACTTAGGATGAGCTTGTTACTGGCATGTTGGCTGTGGGAAGTATATCTTGAAATTCACTAAAAGACCAACTATTGCTGGGCGCAGTGGCTCAAGCACCTGTAATCCCAGCACTTTGGAAGGCCAAGGCAGGCGGACCACCTGAGATCAGGAGTTCGAGACCAGCCCAACCAACATGGAGAAACCCCACCTCTACTAAAAATACAAAATTAGCCCATTGTGGTGGCACATGCCTGTAGTCCCAGCTACTCAGGAGGCTGAGGCAGGAGAATCACTTGAACCTGGGAGGTGGAGGTTGCAGTGAGCTGAGATCATACCATTGCACTCCAGCCTGGGCAACAAGAGCGAAACTCCATCTCAAAAAAAAAAAAAAAAAGACCAACTACCTTCACAATAAATAAAAATGTCTTACATTTCTAATTAAAATTTTTGTTCAGTTTTATTATTCAGCTTTAAAAAGGAAGGGAATTCTGACATGTTACAACATGAATAAATCTTGAGTACTTTGTGCTAAGTGAAATAAGCTAGTTACAAAAAGAAAAATACTGTATGATTCCACTTACATCAGAGTAGTCAGAAAGTAGACTGGTGGTTGCCAGGGGTTAAGGGGAGGGGAAATGAAGGGTCGTTTAATGGGTGTAGAGTTTCAGTTTTACAAGATGAAAAGAGTTCTGTGGATGGACGATGGTAATGGTAGCACAATGATACGATTATACCTAGTGTCTTTGAACGGTGAACTTAAAAAGGGTTAAGATGTTAAACTTGATGGGTATCTTACCACAGTTAAATTTTTATTATTTTTTTATTTTTTGAGACAATTTCGCTCGTTGCCTAGGGTGGAGTGCAGTGCTGGGATCTCAGCTCACTGCAACTCTGCCTCCCAGGTTCAAGCGATACTCCTGCCTCAGCCTCCCGAGTAGCTGGGACTACAGGCACACATCACCATACCCGGCTAATTTTTATATTTTTAGTAGAGACAAGGTTTCACCATGTTGGCCAGGCTGGTCTTGAACTCCTGACCTCAAGTGATCTGCCCACCTCAGCCTCCCAGAGTGCTGGGATTACAGGTGTGAGCCACTGTGCCCGGCCAAAAAAATTTTTTTTAAATACCGTTAAGAAGTGGAAAATAAGGCCAGGTGTGGTGGCTCACACCTGTAATCCCAGCACTTTGGGAGACCAAGGTTGGTGGATCACCTGAGGTTTGGAGTTTGAGACCAGCCTGGCCAACATGGTAAAACCTCATATCTACTAAAAATACAAAATTAGCCGGGCGTGGTGGCGCATGTCTGTAATCCCAGCTATTCGAGAGGCTGCGGCAGGATAATTGCTTGAAATCGGGAGGTGGAGGTTTCAGTGAGCCGAGATCACTTAAAAAAAAAAAGGAAAATAAGCTACCAGCTGAGAGAAAATATATGCAAATCATATTGAAGTCCTGTTAAAGGACTTGTATTTAGGATATATAAAGGATGCTTACAACTTAATACGAAGACGATAGCCCAAATTTAAGATAGGGAAATGCTTTGACTAGACATTCTACCAAAAGAGATATATAATGGCTAAAAAGCACATGAAAAGATGCTCAACATCATTAATCAGAGTGGCTAGAATGAAAAAGGCTAACAATACCAAGAGCTGGTGAGGATGTGAAAAAACTGGAACTCTCAATTGTTGCTGGTGGAAATTCAGACTGGTACAGCCAGTGTGGAATGTGATTTGGCAGTTTATTAAAAAGCTAAAAACCTAAACTTACATAGCCCAGCAATTGCACCCCCAGGAGTCTACCCAATGGAAATGAAAACAGTCCGTCCCCACAGAGACATGGACATAAATGTTCATAGCAGCATTATTCAGAATAGCCCCAAATTGAAAACAATCCAGATGTCCATCAACTGGTAAATGGATAAGCAAACCATATAATGGAAAACCATTCAGCTTCCAATAACTTCCAAGAAACTGTAGACACATGCAGTATCATGGTTAAACCTCAAAAACATTATATTAAGTAAAATAGGCGAGGCATGTATTGTATGAGTCATATGAAATGTCTAGAAAAGGCAAATTTATTGAGATAGAAAGCAGATCACTGGTTGCTTAAGGCCTAGGGTAGGAGTGGGGATTAACTGTAAACGGGTACAAGGTACCTGACTGGGGCAATGGACATGTGGATTGTGATGATAGTTAAATTGTACAGCTCTCTCTATATATAGTTGTACAGCTCTATTAATTTTCCACAATCATTGAATCATGTCTTCCAGTTTTATGAGGTAAATCATAGTCCAATGAAGCTTTTTTAAAAATAAGATGATAGGCCATGTGTGGTGGCTCACGTCTGTAATCCCAGCACTTTGGGAGGCCAAGGTGGGTGGATCATGAGGTCAGGAGTTCGAGACCAGCCTGACCAACATGGTGAAACCCTGTCTCCATCAAAAATAAAAAAATTAGCCAGGCATGGTGGCATGCGCCTGTAATCCCACCTACTCAGGAGGCTGAGACAGGAAAGTCGCTTGAACCTGGGCGGCAGAGTCTGCAGTGAGCCGAGATCATGCTGCTGTACTCCAGCCTGGGCCACAGAGCAAAACTCCATCTCAAAAAAAAAAAAAATATTAATTAATATGATAAAATGATGCCTATCTCAGAATTCTTGTAAGGATTTCTTAGTACAAGTGCTGGGTATAAACTATATATTCAATAGATGACGATTATTACTTATTATTGTTATTGATAAATAACAGCAGCATCTACAGTTAAGACTCCAGAGTCAGTCACATAGAATCTGGAACTCCTATTGTAGAAAACCAAAAAAGAAAGAAAACACAGCTGAAGCCTAATTTTGTATATCATTTACTGACTTCTCTCATTCATTGTGGGGTTGAGTAGGGCAGTGATATTTTTGAATTGTGAAATCATAGCAAAGAGTGACCAACTTTTTAATATTTGTAACCTTTCCTTTTTAGGGGGAGTAAAACTTGGATTGGGAGATTTCATTTTCTACAGTGTTCTGGTTGGTAAAGCCTCAGCAACAGCCAGTGGAGACTGGAACACAACCATAGCCTGTTTCGTAGCCATATTAATTGTAAGTATACACTAATAAGAATGTGTCAGAGCTCTTAATGTCAAAACTTTGATTACACAGTCCCTTTAAGGCAGTTCTGTTTTAACCCCAGGTGGGTTAAATATTCCAGCTATCTGAGGAGCTTTTTGATAATTGGACCTCACCTTAGTAGTTCTCTACCCTGGCCACACATTAGAATCACTTGGGAGCTTTTAAAACTGTAAGCTCTGCCCTGAGATATTCTTACTCAATTTAATTGTGTAGTTTTTAAAATTCCCCAGGAAATTCTGGTATTTCTGTTTAGGAACCGCTGCCTCAAGCCTAGCAGCACAGATATGTAGGAAATTAGCTCTGTAAGGTTGGTCTTACAGGGATAAACAGATCCTTCCTTAGTCCCTGGACTTAATCACTGAGAGTTTGGTGGTGGTTTTGCATTTAATGACACAACCTGTAGCATGCAGTGTTACTTAAGACAGCAAGCATCTAGTGAGAGGAGCTGGTGCCATGCATGACCCCACATAGATCTTGCTGATAGTGCTACAGCATGAACCCTGAAGCTTTCAAAACTATGATTTTTTTTTTTTTTTTTTTTGAGACGGAGTCTCTGTCACCCAGGCTGGAGTGGTGCAATCTCGGCTCATTGCAACCTCTGCCTCCCAGATTTAAGTGATTCTCTGCCTCAGCCTCCCGAGTAGCTGGGATTACAGGTGCCTGCCACCACGCCCGGCTAATTTTTGTATTTTTAGTAGAAACAGGGTTTCACCATGTTGGCCAGGCTCCTCTTGAACTCCTGACCTCAAGTGATGTGCCTGCCTCGGCCTCCCAAAGTGCTGGGATTACAGGCGTGAGCCACCGCACCTGGCTTTTTTTTTTTTTTTTTTTTTTGGAGACAGAGTCTTGCTCTGTCGCCCAAACTAGAGTGCAGTGACATTAGCTCACTGCAACTTCTGCCTCCTAGGTTCAAGCGATCCTCCTGTCTCAGCCTCCCAAGTAGCTGGAATTACATGTGTGCACCACCATGCCTGGCTAATTTTTGTATTTTTAGTGGAGATGAGGTTTTGCCACATTGCCCAGGCTGGTCTCAAACTTCTGACCTCAACTGATCTGCCTGCCTCAGCCGCATAAAGTGCTGGGATTACAGGCATGAGCCACTGTGCCCAACCTGAAAACTATGATTTAAGTAAACAACCCATAAAATATTTCTTGCTATTTTTACTAAAGATGTGTTATCTTGGCCGGGTGAAGACTTTCTAGTGTTTCCGTAACTAGGGTAAAAAATGAACTCTATTATATGGCTTGTACATGTGTTTACAAGAAAGCAGTGTACTCCTCATAAATAAACTTTTAGTTTATTTTATTTTTTAAACACTGCAGCCTCATCATGCTTCACGGAGGAGCCTGTGCGGGAAGAATGCTCCCACACAGCATAAAGAATGCTCCCGCACAGCATAGAGAATGCCCCCGCACAGCATAGAGAAGCCCCCGCACAGCATAGAGAATGCCCCCGCACAGCATAGAGAAGCCCCCGCACAGCATAGAGAATGCTCTTCACCTCTGGGTTTTTAACCAGCCAAACTAAAATCACAGAGGCCAACACATCATTTAAGATAGAAATTTCTGTATCTTTTAATTTTTTTCAAAGTAGTTTTACTTATTTTCAGATTCTATTTCTTTACTAGAATTAAGGGATAAAATAACAATGTGTGCATAATGAACCCTATGAAACAAACAAAAGCTAGGTTTTTTTCATAGCTCTTCTTCCAGATTGAATGAACGTCTGTTCTAAAATTTAACCCCAAAAGGAAAATATTCAGTTAACTATGTTAAAAACCAAGACTTGTGATTGAGTTTTGCCTGAAAATGCTTTCATAATTATGTGTGAATGTGTGTCTTTCCCATCTTCTCCACAGGGTTTGTGCCTTACATTATTACTCCTTGCCATTTTCAAGAAAGCATTGCCAGCTCTTCCAATCTCCATCACCTTTGGGCTTGTTTTCTACTTTGCCACAGATTATCTTGTACAGCCTTTTATGGACCAATTAGCATTCCATCAATTTTATATCTAGCATATTTGCGGTTAGAATCCCATGGATGTTTCTTCTTTGACTATAACAAAATCTGGGGAGGACAAAGGTGATTTTCCTGTGTCCACATCTAACAAAGTCAAGATTCCCGGCTGGACTTTTGCAGCTTCCTTCCAAGTCTTCCTGACCACCTTGCACTATTGGACTTTGGAAGGAGGTGCCTATAGAAAACGATTTTGAACATACTTCATCGCAGTGGACTGTGTCCCTCGGTGCAGAAACTACCAGATTTGAGGGACGAGGTCAAGGAGATATGATAGGCCCGGAAGTTGCTGTGCCCCATCAGCAGCTTGACGCGTGGTCACAGGACGATTTCACTGACACTGCGAACTCTCAGGACTACCGTTACCAAGAGGTTAGGTGAAGTGGTTTAAACCAAACGGAACTCTTCATCTTAAACTACACGTTGAAAATCAACCCAATAATTCTGTATTAACTGAATTCTGAACTTTTCAGGAGGTACTGTGAGGAAGAGCAGGCACCAGCAGCAGAATGGGGAATGGAGAGGTGGGCAGGGGTTCCAGCTTCCCTTTGATTTTTTGCTGCAGACTCATCCTTTTTAAATGAGACTTGTTTTCCCCTCTCTTTGAGTCAAGTCAAATATGTAGATTGCCTTTGGCAATTCTTCTTCTCAAGCACTGACACTCATTACCGTCTGTGATTGCCATTTCTTCCCAAGGCCAGTCTGAACCTGAGGTTGCTTTATCCTAAAAGTTTTAACCTCAGGTTCCAAATTCAGTAAATTTTGGAAACAGTACAGCTATTTCTCATCAATTCTCTATCATGTTGAAGTCAAATTTGGATTTTCCACCAAATTCTGAATTTGTAGACATACTTGTACGCTCACTTGCCCCAGATGCCTCCTCTGTCCTCATTCTTCTCTCCCACACAAGCAGTCTTTTTCTACAGCCAGTAAGGCAGCTCTGTCGTGGTAGCAGATGGTCCCATTATTCTAGGGTCTTACTCTTTGTATGATGAAAAGAATGTGTTATGAATCGGTGCTGTCAGCCCTGCTGTCAGACCTTCTTCCACAGCAAATGAGATGTATGCCCAAAGACGGTAGAATTAAAGAAGAGTAAAATGGCTGTTGAAGCACTTTCTGTCCTGGTATTTTGTTTTTGCTTTTGCCACACAGTAGCTCAGAATTTGAACAAATAGCCAAAAGCTGGTGGTTGATGAATTATGAACTAGTTGTATCAACACAAAGCAAGAGTTGGGGAAAGCCATATTTAACTTGGTGAGCTGTGGGAGAACCTGGTGGCAGAAGGAGAACCAACTGCCAAGGGGAAAGAGAAGGGGCCTCCAGCAGCGAAGGGGATACAGTGAGCTAATGATGTCAAGGAGGAGTTTCAGGTTATTCTCGTCAGCTCCACAAATGGGTGCTTTGTGGTCTCTGCCCGCGTTACCTTTCCTCTCAATGTACCTTTGTGTGAACTGGGCAGTGGAGGTGCCTGCTGCAGTTACCATGGAGTTCAGGCTCTGGGCAGCTCAGTCAGGCAAAACACACAAACAGCCATCAGCCTGTGTGGGCTCAGGGCACCTCTGGACAAAGGCTTGTGGGGCATAACCTTCTTTACCACAGAGAGCCCTTAGCTATGCTGATCAGACCGTAAGCGTTTATGAGAAACTTAGTTTCCTCCTGTGGCTGAGGAGGGGCCAGCTTTTTCTTCTTTTGCCTGCTGTTTTCTCTCCCAATCTATGATATGATATGACCTGGTTTGGGGCTGTCTTTGGTGTTTAGAATATTTGTTTTCTGTCCCAGGATATTTCTTATAAGAACCTAACTTCAAGAGTAGTGTGCGAGTACTGATCTGAATTTAAATTAAAATTGGCTTATATTAGGCAGTCACAGACAGGAAAAATAAGAGCTATGCAAAGAAAGGGGGATTTAAAGTAGTAGGTTCTATCATCTCAATTCATTTTTTTCCATGAAATCCCTTCTTCCAAGATTCATTCCCTCTCTCAGACATGTGCTAGCATGGGTATTATCATTGAGAAAGCACAGCTACAGCAAAGCCACCTGAATAGCAATTTGTGATTGGAAGCATTCTTGAGGGATCCCTAATCTAGAGTAATTTATTTGTGTAAGGATCCCAAATGTGTTGCACCTTTCATGATACATTTCTTCTCTGAAGAGGGTACGTGGGGTGTGTGTATTTAAATCCATCCTATGTATTACTGATTGTCCTGTGTAGAAAGATGGCAATTATTCTGTCTCTTTCTCCAAGTTTGAGCCACATCTCAGCCACATTGTTAGACAGTGTACAGAGAACCTATCTTTCCTTTTTTTTTTTTTAAAGGACAGGATTTTGCTGTGTTGCCCAGGCTAGACTTGAACTCCTGGGCTCAAGTAATCCACCTCAGCCTGAGTAGCTGAGACTACAGCCCATCTTATTTCTTTAAATCATTCATCTCAGGCAGAGAACTTTTCCCTCAAACATTCTTTTTAGAATTAGTTCAGTCATTCCTAAAACATCCAAATGCTAGTCTTCCACCATGAAAAATAGATTGTCACTGGAAAGAACAGTAGCAATTTCCATAAGGATGTGCCTTCACTCACACGGGACAGGCGGTGGTTATAGAGTCGGGCAAAACCAGCAGTAGAGTATGACCAGCCAAGCCAATCTGCTTAATAAAAAGATGGAAGACAGTAAGGAAGGAAAGTAGCCACTAAGAGTCTGAGTCTGACTGGGCTACAGAATAAAGGGTATTTATGGACAGAATGTCATTACATGCCTATGGGAATACCAATCATATTTGGAAGATTTGCAGATTTTTTTTCAGAGAGGAAAGACTCACCTTCCTGTTTTTGGTTCTCAGTAGGTTCGTGTGTGTTCCTAGAATCACAGCTCTGACTCCAAATGACTCAATTTCTCAATTAGAAAAAGTAGAAGCTTTCTAAGCAACTTGGAAGAAAACAGTCATAAGTAAGCAATTTGTTGATTTTACTACAGAAGCAACAACTGAAGAGGCAGTGTTTTTACTTTCAGACTCCGGGATTCCCATTCTGTAGTCTCTCTGCTTTTAAAAACCCTCCTTTTGCAATAGATGCCCAAACAGATGATGTTTATTACTTGTTATTTACGTGGCCTCAGACAGTGTATGTATTCTCGATATAACTTGTAGAGTGTGAAATATAAGTTTAACTACCAAATAAGGTCTCCCAGGGTTAGATGACTGCGGGAAGCCTTTGATCCCAACCCCCAAGGCTTTGTATATTTGATCATTTGTGATCTAACCCTGGAAGAAAAAGAGCTCAGAAACCACTATGAAAAAATTTGTTCAGTGTTTTCTGTGTTCCCGTAGGTTCTGGAGTCTGAGGATGCAAAGATGAATAAGATAAATTCTCAGAATGTAGTTATAATCTCTTGTTTTCTGGTATATGCCATCTTTCTTTAACTTCTCTAAAATATTGGGTATTTGTCAAATAACCACTTTTAACAGTTACCATTACTGAGGGCTTATACATTGGTGTTATAAAAGTGACTTGATTCAGAAATCAATCCATTCAGTAAAGTACTCCTTCTCTAAATTTGCTGTTATGTCTATAAGGAACAGTTTGACCTGCCCTTCTCCTCACCTCCTCACCTGCCTTCCAACATTGAATTTGGAAGGAGACGTGAAAATTGGACATTTGGTTTTGCCCTTGGGCTGGAAACTATCATATAATCATAAGTTTGAGCCTAGAAGTGATCCTTGTGATCTTCTCACCTCTTTAAATTCCCACAACACAAGAGATTAAAAACAGAGGTTTCAGCTCTTCATAGTGCGTTGTGAAATGGCTGGCCAGAGTGTACCAACAAAGCTGTCATCGGGCTCACAGCTCAGAGACATCTGCATGTGATCATCTGCATAGTCCTCTCCTCTAACGGGAAACACCTCAGATTTGCATATAAAAAAGCACCCTGGTGCTGAAATGAACCCCTTTCTTGAACATCAAAGCTGTCTCCCACAGCCTTGGGCAGCAGGGTGCCTCTTAGTGGATGTGCTGGGTCCACCCTGAGCCCTGACATGTGGTGGCAGCATTGCCAGTTGGTCTGTGTGTCTGTGTAGCAGGGACGATTTCCCAGAAAGCAATTTTCCTTTTGAAATACGTAATTGTTGAGACTAGGCAGTTTCAAAGTCAGCTGCATATAGTAGCAAGTACAGGACTGTCTTGTTTTTGGTGTCCTTGGAGGTGCTGGGGTGAGGGTTTCAGTGGGATCATTTACTCTCACATGTTGTCTGCCTTCTGCTTCTGTGGACACTGCTTTGTACTTAATTCAGACAGACTGTGAATACACCTTTTTTATAAATACCTTTCAAATTCTTGGTAAGATATAATTTTGATAGCTGATTGCAGATTTTCTGTATTTGTCAGATTAATAAAGACTGCATGAATCCAGCTGTGCTAGTGTTTTTTACATGAAAGTATCATAATGTATAACTGTAACTCACAGAACTGTCTAGCACTTATCAAGAAACAGTTTAGAATACAAAAATTAGCCAGGCGTGGTGGTGGGCGCCTGTAGTCCCAGCTACTCGGAAGGCTGAGGCATGAGAATCGCTTGAACCCAGGAGGCAGAGGTTGCAGTGAGCCGAGATCTCACCACTGCACTCCAGCCTGGGCGACAGAGCAAGACTCTGTCTCAAAAAAAAAAAAGTTTAGAAACAAATGCATTGTTTCTATTCTTAACTCATAAGAAAGTGGTATGGATTATAGCACACCACAGCTCTGAAGAGTGTAATATTAAATCTGTTTATAAAAGCCCCAAAGCAGCTATCCTTAATACATCCTGAAAGATATTTTTTCTAATAACTTTCACATTAATGTAAATATGTCAGAAGAAACTGTAAACTTATAAGACGTATGTTGTACAGTGCAGATATGTGCTGGAGGATTTTTTTTAAAGAAATTAGGTCACACTAATGGGAAAAGGCAACATTACTTTTATTGACCTGGTAGAGCATAGAATGTCCTCTCACTCCATTCCCCAAACTTGATAAAACGTTTTGTTTCTAAACAGTAAATAACATACAATCTGGAAATGATTGATCAGAAATACATTTATGGCAGAAAAACCACAGTTGGCCATGGTCTTCAGAAGGGGGCAGATAAGACATTGATGTGTTCCCGGCTACATCTGCTAAGGGCATCAGGAAGCAGGGAGTGTTTATTCCCTCCTTTGAGAATTGGAGGCATCATTTGTTTTCATGGCTCTTTTAGGCAGTGTCTGTGGAGTCTCCTACAGAGGCATCAGGACTTGGGAGAGGTTTCTGATTTTTAGGGGTCCTGACAATGGTGTTCTTGTTTTTTTTTTTTGAGACGGAGTCTCGCTCTGTTGCCCAGGCTGGAGTGCAGTGGCGCGATCTCAGCTCACTGCAAGCTCCGCCTCCTGGGTTCATGCCATTCTCCTGCCTCAGCCTCCTGAGTAGCTGGGACTACAGGCGCCCGCCACGCCCGGCTAATTTTTTTGTATTTTTAGTAGAGGCAGGGTTTCACCGTGTTAACCAGGATGGGACAATGGTGATCTTGATGAGAATGAGGACGGACTTTGAGCAGGGTTGAGAAGCAAGGGTAGTGAGGCTGGGTTTCCTGTGTCTCTAGGTAAGTCCCGTAGCTTTCCGTCAGCCCATGCCACACCTTCTTCCTGGGGACCCTTCTGTGTGCGGTGTGGAGAGTAGCTTAGGATCTGGTCAAAAGTGAAATGACAGCATACTTGAGTACGAGTGCAATGTTGACTTGTCAGTTGAATGAGAAAGAGTAAAGGAGAGATCCACAAAAGCAGGGGTTTAAAATCAGAAATTTCTCAGAAAGAAGGTTTGTTGTTGTTTTGGAGACAAGGTCTGGCTCTGTTGCCCAGGCTGGAGTGTAGTAGCGCGATCATGGCTCACTGCGTTGTTGAACTCCTGGGTTCAAAGGATCCACCTCAGCCTCCTGAGTAGCTGGAACTACAGGTGTACACCACCATGCCTGGCTAGTTATTTTTTATTTCGTGTAGAGACTGGGTCTTGCTTTGTTCTCCAGGCTGGTCTTGAACTCCTGGGCTCAAGTGATCCTCTCAGCTCAGCCTCCTGAAGTGCTGAGATTATAGGAGTGAGCCACTGCACCTAGCCAGAAATAAAGTTTTGAACTCAGTTTGGAAAGGGGGAAAAAGCCTGAATTGGCCAAGAAGGCAAAGGACATATACTGTACTAAAAATCAGGAAGACGGAAGTACCTGGGAGACACCTATGGATAATTGGTTTTTGAATAAAGGTGATGATTTATTCAGAGGAAAATCCAATTAGCTAACCAAATCTGTTTTCATATTTACTTAGAATATATCTCCTTCATCACATGACTTGTAGTGACCTAGAGGATGATGACCTAATCTACCACAGGGGTCTTTCAACATGTGGAGTGTCCCATGCTTGGAGAAGGTTGATGTGCTTGCATGGACTGTCCTGTGCCTGGTATGCCACGCCCTTCAAAGGGAGAGACGGGAAAAGCCTCGGGAACCAAATTTGTTCAAGTCCTAATTGTTGGCAGAAAGGGAGACATGCTCTTGCTGCCTCTGTTTCTTCTACTTTTTTTTTTTTTTTTTTTTTTTTGAGATGAAGTCTTTCTCTGTCGCCCAGGCTGGAGTGCTGCAATCTCGGCTCACTGTAGCCTCTGCCTCCCGGGTTCCAGCGATTCTCCTGCCTCAGCCCTCTGGGTAGCTGGGAGTACAGGCACATGCCAACACGCCCTGCTAATTTTTTTTTTTTTTTCATATTTTTAGTAGAGATGGGATTTCACCATGCTGGCCAGACTCGTCTCGAACTCCTGACCTCAGGTGATCCGCCCGCCTCGGCCTCCCAAAGTGCTGGGATTACAGGCATGAGCCACCGTGCCTGGCCTGCTTTTTTTTTTTTTTTTAAATTGCATAGGATTTGATATAGACTATACATAACCCAAGGTCAATTTCTCGTGCATAAGAGGAAAGGATTTTCTTACCCTTATGGAGTAAACCTATAGCATACCTCAAGGTGGACCTGTCGGTGAAAGTCTGATTGTGATTTGTTTTCTCGGTCGTAGACTAAACTCAAGGATAGAGTACACATATGATGTAAAGGGGAAGCAAGACTGGAGCTAAACATGATACTACATTTAAATACCTGAATTTAAGAGAGTGCTTTCAGGGCTAGTGCATCTCCATGCAGGGGTGGAGACATAGTGTTCTTCCAAATGCTCGATGAGAAACCGAAGAGAGAAATTTGGAACTTTGTCTGGCATTCAGGTTTTTAAAAATGTCCTATGACTTGTAATAACTGGTTTTTCTGTTTACTAATCAGATTTACCCACATATATCATAAAATAGTATTAAACTTATTTAGTGAGATAACTGAGTTTTAACTTATGTGGGCTAGATGTATGATTTATAAATTTATAATTTATAGTTTATAAATTTATACATGAATGTATGAGTTCTTCAGATTTTCTGAAATGTCGAAAATGGCTTCCATGCCTCCTCCTCCCTCAGGGGACATCTGCTCGGGAGGCCTTGTTTTGGTGTCTCCTAGCCGAGCTTTCCTTTCCCCCTTGCTCCCAGTTCAGGGATCTTCTCTATAATCACCCAGCTCCAAGGTCATCTAGTTTAAAATGTCACCAGGCTTGAGGACTGGAACATCCCAGCAGAAGGGGAAGGGCTTTTTATCTTGGGGAACCTGCACAGGCCCAAGCACAGTCTGAGGACACGGTGAGGGTGTTGGAGGCCATGCTCGGTTGCAAGGGTGTCTGCCTTCACTTTGGTTTATTTCATATCTGCCCCCTAGGCCAGGGCTGGGAGAGCTGAGCCAGTGCTTCACAGTTTGTTTGTTTGTTTGTTTATTTTTATTTTTATGTGTTTTTTTTGAGATGGAGTCTCGCTCTGTCGTCCAGGCTGGAGTGCAGTGGCGCAAACTCGGCTCACTGCAACCTCTGCCTCCTGGGCTCAAGTGATTCTCCTGCCTCAGCTCCTGAGTAGCTGAGATTACAGGCGCCCGCCACCACACCCAGCTAATTTTTGTAGTAGAGACGAGGTTTCGCCATGTTGGCCAGGCTGGTCTCAAACTCCTGACCTCAGGTGATCTGCTCGCCTTGGCTTCCGAAAGTGCTGGGATTACAGGCGTGAGCCACCGTGCCCAGCCAGTGTTTCACGTTTTGTAAATGTGCCTTCTCTGGCTCTCAGGTTACTTCTGTGGGCATCCAGAAATTAATTTCAGGATATTTTAGGCCCTTTGGCCTCTGTCAGACCTGAAAGTGAAGCCAGCCTGCCTGGGTTAATGTGCTGTTGACGGCACAGGCTGTTTGCACTGGCGATGTAGGGTGCTGCCCACTGAGCCAGGGTGCCCCATGTGTCAGATGGGCCCATGGCGATGGAGCCAGTGCAGCCCACTTGAGGGAGGAGACAGGGACCGGCTCCTCTGCCTGTCCACACACATGGCAGGTCATCTTTGAGGACTCTGTTTTCTCAATTGTCAAGGACCAGAATTCCCTCTTTCCCCTCTTGCACTATGGATAAAGGCATAGACATGTTATAAGTGATTATGCAGCTTTTGTCATTAAAGATATGTAATAACACGGTTCGCCAAGGTGCTCCAAGCATTTGGTAATTATTGCATGAATTGATTTTTGTTTTTAAATCAAAACATACTTTGGTAAACATTCCTGTGAAGGGAGGCCCATTCCAAGTCTCAGAGTTGGAGTGCCACCAAGACCCCGCCTGGAGCCCCGCTGCTCTGCCAGTCAACTGATGGGCTCCTTTACCCTCTCTCTTCCTGGCAGTGCTCCATAGCGGTGGGAAAGAGGGTGAGGCCTTGCCACTCCGCGGAGGGCCCCCTGGCCCACCCCAATGCTGAAGACAAATCTGACCCCATCTTCCCACTGGGAACTTGGCCAACCCAGATGTTCCCGCAGCCCCTCCCTCCGCTCCTCGCTCCCTGGATGGGGCCCACCTCCAGCGCATTTTTCTCACTCCAAGCTCCTTCCTTGCCAGATGGCTCTGCTGGAGGATTCTGCCCCGGGCTGGGAGGGGCTGGGGACCTGATTCTCTCATTTCCCTGTGGTTTGGCGAGTCTTCCCTCGCCCCTGTCGTTTTCAGAGCGAGCCCCGCCCTTGTCTGCAGACTCTGGCTGCCTGGACAGGCAAAGGGAAATGGATGGGTCACCCTGATGCCTCCGAGCCCGGTGACAGGAGCTAAGGATGGCAAATACAGACCGAGGGGCCACCTTGCCACTGCCTGACCCTCCAGGGAGCTTGGGCGCCGTCCCATTTCTTAAACTCCTGGCAGTTGCCCAATAAATGGTGAGTCAGTGAAGGACTGTAGGGGTGGCTGCGGGGTCTGCGGGAGGGGATTTCCATGCAGAATGATGTCAATAGGTCATGTGCATGGGAATTGTTGTGAGTAAGAACAAACATTAACCAGCTTTTGCCCCTGTTTACAAGGCTGTGCTGGAGAGTGTGGAGCCGAAGTCAACCAGCCTTATCCCTTCAGGAGACCTGAATTTATAAATGGTGGTCAGGATGAATACAAACAGGATTCCTCCCCCAGTTCACGTTTGTGACATCTGGAGAGATGTATGGGTTTGTCCTGGGTCATTGTCACCACATTGGATGCAGGGGGAATAAAGGATAGGGCGGTTGTTAATACATACCCCACATTTAACCAAGAAAAGCCACAGAGGAAGGTACTGCTTCATAAAACCAATGTCCCTTGAGCATGTCCCTTAATATGCCACAGACACTATGCCAAGCCCATCACAGGCATTGTCTCCTGTCCTCACCCCACCCTATGGGTAGGGCCTGTTAGCCCCATTTTACAGAGGAGGAGGAGCGCTCCCAGAGTCACTGCCCGCAGGTAAGTGGGAGAGGCTGTGCCTCCAGCACTGTCAAGGACGGGGGCACTGGACCCCATTTCTGATGAACCGAATCTTCGTCTGAGTGGGCCTTGGTAGCGCAGTCTCACAACCTTTCTCAACTTTCTCACTAAAGCTGCTCAAGCAACAGAGGACAGAGACACTGAGGGATGTGGACACAGTCCAAGGTGGCAGCCTTAGGTGGAGAGTTCTCTGGAGTTTTACCAAAACCAAAAGTTTTATTTCATAATATATGCTTTTTGTTGTCTTACTGGGTAAAATACAACATAAAATATACCATCCTAACCATTTTTGAGTGTGCATTTGGTGACATTAAGTTCCTTCACAGTGATGTGTAGCTATCACACGCCCATCTCCAGAGCTCCTTCCTCACCACAAAACAGCTCCCCGCCCCAGCCTCCAGCACCCCCATTCCAGCTCTGTCTCTGTGAATTTGACTACTCCAGGAACCTCACAAGGAGTGGAACGACCCACTATTCATTCTTCTGTGACTGGCTTATTTCACTTAGCGTGAAGTCCTTGAGGTTCATGCATGTTGTTGTAGACGTGTTTTAATGTTAAAAAAAAAAAAAAAACGGCTGGGCATGGTGGCTCACGCCTGTAATCCCAGCACTTTGGGAGGCCAAGGCGGGCAGATCACCTGAGGTCAGGAGTTCAAGACCAGCCTGGCCAACATGGCGAAACCCCATATCTACTAAAAGTACAAAAATTAGCTGGGCATGGTGGCAGGCACCTGTAATCCCAGCTACTCAGGAGGCTGAGGCAGGAGAATTGCTTGAACCCGGGAGGCGGAGGTTGCAGTGAGCCGAGATCGTGCCACCGCACTCCAGCCTGGGTGACAAGAGTGAGACTCCATCTCAAAAAAAAAAAAAAAAAACCATCACCAAAAATATATGACACCACCATACACACTCCTAAAGTTGATGTTCCCAGAAGCTGTGCCTTATTTATTCAGTCTTCCTGTGATGCTAAGGTCACAAGCTCTGGTGCGAGAGACACTGACCAGCCAGGCCTCAGCTCCCAACTCTGGCCGAGCAGGACAGCCCGTCACAGTCTGCCTTTCAGTGCCAATGCTGCCTGGAGGCCTGCGCTGGAGGCCCCAGTCGACACGGGTGTGTGCCACTCCCCTTCAGAGAGGATGCCACCTCCAGCTTTCTGCTGCCTCACTTTGTTCTCAGAGTTTGGGGTGGTGGATTCCTGGGAATTTTCAATTTTAGTATTTATTTTTTATTTACATCAATCTATTGTCTTTTAAAAATGAGAAAACTGCCATGCAGGAAGGTTGGCTTGCCTGAGATATTACAGCCAGGAGTGGTAGACCCAAGACTGCCCAGGCTTTGTGCCTCCCTACTTCCTGCCCCCAAGCTTGGACCACATTCATGGCACCACCAGGAGGTGATTCCAGTAGGCCACCCCGCCCACCACATCACACAAATGCTGCTCATCTGAATCCCATCTGCTCTGCGTTATATTGCGTTTAATGGGCAAAATTTACAAAGCTCTGAAAACTGAAAGGTTTCTTATCAATGTGTCCGTAATACCTGACTGAACTTTATGCCCTTTAGGAGGACATTTGTGTGTTTTGCCGCAGAGCTATGAGTGTGTATGTGCGGCGGTTTTGCTCGTTGATTTGTTTTGATTAAAAAGGGCTTCTGGCCGGGCGCGGTGGCTCACGCCTGTAATCCCAGCACTTTGGGAGGCTAAGGCAGGCGGATCACAAGATCAGGAGATCGAGACCATCCTGGCTAACATGGTGAAATCCCGTCTCTACTAGAAATACAAAATAATTAGCCAGGCGTGGTGGCATGCGCCTGCAGTCCCAGCTACTCGGGAGGCTGAGGCAGGAGAATCGCTTGAACCCAGGAGGTGGAGCTTGCAGTGAGCCGAGATCGCACCATTGCACTCCAGACTGGGCAACAGAGCAAAACTCCGTCTCAAAAAAATAAACATAAAAAGAGGGCTTCTGGCCAGGCACGGTGGCTCATGCCTATAATCCCAGCACTTTGGGAGGCCAAGGTGGGCAGATCACCTGAGGTCAGGAGTTGGAGACCAATCTGGCCAACATGGTGAAACCCCATCTCTACTAAAAATACAAAAATTAGCTGAGTGTGGTGGTGTGTGCTTGTAATCCCAGCTACTGGGGAGGCTGAGGCAAGAGAATCGCTTGAACCTAGGACGCGGAGGTTGCAGTGAGCCGAGATGGTGAAAAGAGGGCTTCCAGCCTGCTGGGAGTATTATATAATATGCAGTTTAGTCACTTCTAAAGCCTGGAAAATTCTCAATTCTGAAACACGTTTGGCCTCAAGAGTTTCTGATAAGGGATTGGGACCTAGATATATAGAATTAACAGTGATATGAAAGCTGTAAAAATAAAGAGCTTAGACCCCGTTTTGTGTCTGTACATCTTTCCGTGGCATTATACTATAAAGTAGGGGTCCAGGATAACAGGTCCCCACAGAAATGAGAGCTAGAGAAGCACTGCAGCAAAAAAAAAGAAAAGAAAAGAAAAGAAAAATTATTTCCTCTCCCTTCAGCTTCGGGGAAGTCTTGTTTTAGGATTGCGAGGCACTGGCCCACTGACTTCTGGGTTGTGTTTCCAGGTCTTTGGCCCGAGACACAGGCTGTCTCTCAATGTCTGGGCTGAGAACCATTCAGGTACAGAGGCTGAAGCCACAGGGTAGATGAGAAGTGTCCCAGGAGCATGGTGGAGGGTGAGACCAAGACAAAAGGATCTAAACAGCCTTGACTGCTGGCCTCTGGGGCTACCAATCCAGGGCCCCTGTCCGTGACAGCCCCCCAGGGACAGCACCAGGGACCTCAGAGCCTGGCTCACTGGATTCATCACAAGAGAACAGGGACTTGCTGCCTTCTGCAACCATCCGAGGGGCCACCAGGCGGCCACAGGACACCAGGCTTGCCTGGGAGTCTGGGGTGCCCACCTGGAGCTTCAAGGCCCAGAGACATGCTCCGGGCCTGTGCTCTTGAGCTGGTTCCACACCTTACACCGACCTTTGTGGGGTCTGGGCCAGGAGCTGCTCTCCCCTTTGGGAAGTGAGGGTGGGTTCCTCACAGCAGCTCCCTTAATGTCTCAACCAGCTTCTCCAAAGGAGGCCGTGGTTGGGGTCGCTGTGGTAGGAGTTTGTGTTCCCCTGTGGGCAGAGGGGATGAGATCTCTGCCGGCTGGAGCTGCTGGCTGGGAGCTAGTCAGAAACAGCATTGGAAAGCCCCTTCCTTTCCCACTGTCTCTGCTCTCCTTCCCCAGGCATTGTCCTGCCTCCACACAGCCTCTCCCGCATCCCGGTGCCCTTTCCGGGATCCGAGTCAGCGTGGGCCTGGTGTCACTGAGGGGACATCCCAGGAATTCCTGTTCTTTCCCTCTGGATGGCCTTCTTGTCTGCAGGAAGGGTGGGAGGAGCTATTATATATTTCTGTCTCAGCTTTAAGGGTAAAACTCCCCTCCAAAGGCCAGGTGGCTTATCTCCTGACAGCCACTTGTCAGACACACTGAGCCCTGAATTCCCACTCCAGTGGTCTGGCATGGTGCTTCAAAGAGCTGACTTGGATATGGCAACGCAATGGGGGAAGGAAGGTTGAGGTGGCGTCTGGAAGCACAGCACGGAGTGGAGTTTTGACCCTCGCCTTCCCGCCGTTCCCAGCGTTTGAATGACTGTATTAAGGGAAATGAATATATGTATTGGGGGGTGGGGAGACGTTAGAGAAATAAATGCAGCAGCCTCTGATGTGGAGTATCTTTTTTCCTTTTGGATTCCTAGTGGGCTGTGGCATCGGTTCTATGACTTTTATCGTAAAAATGTTTGAATACTCTGATTGTAAAACTCAGCTTAGTCTAAACTGACACACACAGCACTAGAATGCAAGTCCCCACTAGAGTGTAAACTCCCCGAGCAGACCTAGTGAGCTGGAGCCCACGCCTGGGAGAGCTGACTGCATCTCTTCCCAACTCCACGTCTGGTGACGTCACCTTGGTAGCTTGAAAACAGCCATGGTGGGAGCATCTACACCAAACGCCATGGGAAAGAATCCACCTGCACAGCAGTGCTGCCTCCTGCAGCAAGCTGAAGCTTAAACAGTTATCACCACTGGGCCGGTCTCTCCCAGCTTCTAGCGCAGCGTAGGCACTCAGATATTTGGATGAACAACCTCCAAATGAAGGAAGAGGGAAGCAGCATCCTCTAAATTCAGTTCAATGGGAGTTCAACAAATACCCTGTCCTGGTGGACATGTGTTTTCTGGGGCAGCTGCCATCTGAACTTCCACCTGGGGACCCTGCCAATTCTTGTTTCTCAGGTCCTGGCCATCAGGGTACAGGCATGTTCCTGTGGGGAGTGAGTCTACAAGGACGCTTCAGGGTTTTTCTAGGCATGTGTCAGCATTGCCTAAAATTGGTGGTGACACGAGTTCAGCGTCCAGCGGAAGAGCAGCATAGATCCTAACTGGAACTGCTCCTGGACTACAACTAGGACATTGTCGGGGGTCCAGCCCAAGCATGTGCCTGATTTTCAGCCCTCCTGTCAATCTGCGATCTCCCATTGCCTCTCTTCTAAGCAACTCTCCTGTTTAAGCTGACTCAGTCCTTTTCTGTGATGTGCAACCAAGAACCGCAAGGGTTGGTTCAGGCCCTCTGAGAGCAGAGGCTGAGACGGGACTAGATGTGCGAGAGATCTACAGGGGAGCGCCTGTGAAGATGAATTGCGGGGAGGAGGAGGTGCAGGGGGAGTCTTCAGAACCTGGTGTGGGGCTGAGTGCAGCCACTGGAAGCTGGTCACCAGTTACACTTCTCAAAGCCCCTCTCTTGAGGCAAACCTTCAGGGCCACCATGAACCTCTGGTCCAGGGTATAACATGAAAATGGATCTCTGCCCTTGCAATGTTCACAATTATGAGAGAGAAAGAGAAACAACTACATCACTGCAGTAGTTTGAAAGTGCTAGGGCAAAGCCCGGCACCGATGGGAGTGCAGAGCCAGATGTACAGGAAGGCTTCCTGGAGGAGGTGAATCCTGGGAGCCCCGAGGCTCTTGGCATTTTGCCCTCTCTCTTCTCTCCAGCCTTCCATCCCAACCCAACCACACAAAGAGATCTGGCCACTTCTTTCTTAGCCTCATCCTTAGATCTGCAATCTGTGGAGATATGAAAATGTAGAGAATTGAGGATACACATGGCGGGAGCACAGGACAGAAATTTAACAAAAATTTTTTTAGAGACAGGGTCTTGCTCTGCTGCCCGGGCTGGAGTGCAGTGGTGCAATCATAGCTCGCTGCAGCCTCGACATCCCAGGCTCAATTGATCCTCCTGCCTCAGCCTTCCAAGTAGCTTGGCCAGTGGTACCCGACCTTTTTGGCACCAGGGACCAGTTTTATGGAAGAGAATTTTTTCAGGTCTGGGAGCGGGGTGGGATGGTTTCGGGAAGAAACTGTTCCAGTCTAAAGCCTGATCCTGTTCAGATCATCAGGCATCAGAGTCTCCTAAGGAATGCACACCCTAGGTCCCTTGCATGAGTAGTTCACAACAGGGTTCATGCTCCCGTGGGAATCTAATGCTGCCACTGACCTGACAGGTGGCGGGGCTCAGGCAGTAATGCTTGCTCACCTCCTGCTGTGTGCCCGTTCCTAACAGGCCATGGACAGGTACCGGTCCGTGGCCTGGGGATTGAGGACCCCTATCTTGGACTGCAGGCAACTGCCACCATACCTGGCTAATTAAAAAAAAAATTGTAGAGATGGAGGGTCTCACTGTGTTGCCCTGGCTAGTTTTGAACTCCTAGACTTAAGCAATCCTCCCTCCTCAGCCTCTCAAAGTATTGGGACTCCAGGCATGAGCCACTGCGCCCAGATCAGAACTAACTTTTATTCTGCATCTAGTAGGAATTTTATGGAAACCAGTTACTTCCCTACTCTACCACCTGCTGTATGAGTCTCAAGTGAGCAAGTTGTGGCTTAAGGAGGTGACCCGACCTGCCCAAGTACACACACAGTGAGAAGCAGAGCAGCCTTCCAGTCCAGGTCTGCCTCCGCCCCAGGCTACCCCAAACCCCCAATGCGAGGGCGTCTCAGGTGCAGACACTGAGTGGCATAGAGCCAGCACAGAGGGGACTTGACAATAGGAAGGAAGGTCTTACACTTTTTCCTGGAATCTTCTTTCTAAACCACCCTATTTTAATGCATCAGTTCTGTTCACATCTCTGTGAGGTAAGCAGAGGAGAAATGAGGCTTAAAGAGAATATTCCTGCCCAAGCCAGTAATTGCTAGGGCCTGGCTGGTGGGTCTAAGACAGTCCCTTACCACTGAGTGTGGGTTCTGCCTCCCAACCTCAGAGTCCTCTTTGCAGCTGGCGTGAGGCATAAGAAATCACAGCCCTGGGTGTCTGAGAAGAAAGGATCATAGGAAAAGCAGGGACACAGCAGGAAAGTGAGCTCCTTGGGCCTCAGCTTCCCCCACCCTGCAGCGGGAGAAGCATTTTCCTCCCACTTAACAGAGGACCTTTGACCAAGCTCAGAAAAGTCCCAGCTGGTGGGGGCAGGGAGTGGGGCTTGTTGAATGGAAGAAGCGCTTTTCCTCTTTAGAGAGGCTGCATGATTCCACTCCCCTTTCTCTGCCAAGCTTTATCTTTGCTTAAGAATTCACACAACTCCCCAGGGGCCCCGCTACAGCTGCTGCTCCTCCTGTCTTCATTGATAGGTAAGAAATGCACCTGATTTAAACTGATTTAAACTGGCCATGTTCTAATAAGCATTTTGTCCAAACAGGCAGCTGCTGGAGCCAGGGGGCTGAAGTGGGGCTGAGCTTCCCGCTGGTGACTTCTCTTTGCCCAAATGAGGCCAAGGGAGAAGTGGCAGGGCCAGCAAGGGGCTAAAGGCAGAACAGCGTGGGGGAAGGGGACCAGCCTTTGCCACCACCCCACCCCCAACCTCTCCCCAACTTCTTCCCCCCAACCTCCCTCGTGTCCAGGACCAGTTTCTAAAGATGAGTGAATTCCAGTTTCAAAAAAAGAATGGTAGGCAAAGAGTGTCTTGGTTGTGAAAAAGGACAACCAGGAAAACAAATGAAGTTGATCACATGCGTTGAGCCCCTGCCTTGATGCTAATTAGTGCCCTGGCACAGGTGGTGGGGCTGCATTGCAGGCCCTGCCCCCCGGGACTCACAGCTGAGCAAATCACAGCAACAGGGACAGAAACCGAGGGAGCAGGACATGCACCCCATCGGCCTGGGGTGGTGTGGAGACGGCTTCAAAAGCAGGTGACATGCTGGGCACGGTGGCACTTTGGCAGGCCACGGTGGGAAGATTGCTTGAGCTCAGGAGTTCGAGACCAGGTTGGGCGAGACCTTGTTTCTATTTAAAAAAAGAAGAAGAAGGCTGGGCGCAGTGGCTCACGTCTGTAATCCCAGCACTTTGGGAGTCCGAGGTGGGTGGATCACCTGAAGTCAGGAGTTGGAGACCAGTCTGGCCAACAAGGTGAAAACCTGTCTCTACTAAAAATACAAAAATTAGCCAGGCATCATACAGACGCCTGTAATCCCAGCTACTAGGGAGGCTGAGGCTGGAGAATCGCTTGAACCCAGGAGGCGGAGGTTGCAGTGAGCCAAGATCTAGCCATTGCTCTCTACCCTGGGCAACAAGAGTGAAACTCCGTCTAAAAAAAAAAAAAAGAAAAGGAGGGAGGAAAGTAGAAAGAAAGAAAAGAAAGAGGAAGAAAGGGAGGGAGGAAAGTAGAAAGAAAGAAAAGAGGAAGGGAGGGAGGGAAAGAAAGAAGAAAGTGAGGGAGGAAAGTAGAAAGAAAGAAAAGAGGAAGGGAGGGAGGGAAAGAAAGAAGAAAGGAAGGAAAGTGACATTTGACCAAGGTTTTGAGGGCTGACTACGGGTTTGAGAGGTAGAGGGGATTGGGAGAGCGCATTCTGAGTGAGAAAACGTGCTGGGAGATGGGTAACAGCAGCGTGTGCGGAGAAACTCAGTTGCGGCTGAAGAATAGGATCCAGGGGTGGAGAAGGTGGTGGCTGGACACAGGTGTGTTGTGTGTAGGATAGGCATGAAGAGGAGCGGATAGGGCAAAGCTAGAAGGCTTGGGCAAGGGGAAATGGGATTGGAGAGGTGACTGGCGCTGACCCAAGAGAGGACAGACGGGGTGACCAGAGTGGAGGATGAGCCAAGCCTTGGCACAGACCCAAGCGGGTGGAGGCCCCGGGCAACACCGGTCACCACGAGGGCCTCTACGAAGGGCTCTGTCCTCCCACGGGGATTGGAGGTGGGTAAGTGAGACAGGGCGGGGTGGAGGGTGAGGCCAGGCAGCGGCGGAGAGAGAAAGTCCCACCCCTGCGGGCGTTCCTTGCGGCCCGGCCGACCTCGCGGGCTTGGGCCTGGGCGGGCACCGACGGAGCGGCCCTGGCTGCAGCCTCCCGGCGCCAGCGAAGACAGGTAGGGAGGCGGAGGGACTGGAAGCCCCCGGGCGCCCAGCGGCGGGGACCCCGCACCCCGGGGCTTCTGCAGGAATTTGCTCGCCTGGCTCACGGCGACGGGGGTGTCGGAGAAAGTGGGGGCCGCAGAGAAGACCCCGCCCCGGCTCGCTCTCCGGAGGTGGGCGCAGGGTCATCGCTCGGCACCGCGCGCCCCCCGGCCTGGAGGAAAGGAAATGCAGAGAGCCGGGGAGCTGGTGCGGGACGGCCCCGGCGCGCACCCTCCGCCCGCTCGGACCTTCCCTTCAGGCGAATGCCGCTCCCGGCGCGTGGTACAAGCGAGGCCCTGGAGACCGTGCGCCCCTCCCGGGAGGTGCCACTGGGCCGCGGGCCTGGAGCGTCCGGGAGCCCCAGCGGCTGCCGGCACCTGCGCGGCCACCCCGGGCCTCCCGTGGGAACCGCGCCTCTCCGCCTCGGGGGTGCGCGGCGCGTTCCTGGGGTGGGGACGCGGGGTGCCTGGTCAGGGCTGGACCGATGCAGAGGGGGGCCGTGGGCGGGGGCCACGGGGACGGGCGTCTGCGGACTGCGGCGGTCCCGGAGTCGGCTGGGGACCCTGTAGGGGGAGGCTTGGTCGGCGGCCACCCGCCTTCCCGCCCTCTGGCGCCTAGGGTCGCCGCCTTCGGCCCTAGCTCAAGGCAGACGCGTTCCCCGGGAACAACACGTTGAGGGCGCCCACCCTGCGTGCCCGGGGCCACCCGGTCCCTGCCCTCGGGCGGCAGGAGAGGTCGAGCTTCCACGGCCCTCGGAGTAGCCCCGTGACCAGACCCGGACTGGCCTTGGAGTTGAAGGGGTTGTTTGCCACCAAATGAACCGAAAAAACTGAACTTTTCAGACTTCGGAATGGCAGATATGGGCTTGGAGTTCAGTGAAATTGCAGCGGAGGCGGTGGTGTTCTGAGTAATTACAAGTAAAATTCTTCTTTCACCCGTCTTTTCCTCAGCCTCGCCCGCCCTAGCAGGCCTAGCCTGGCCCTAGCAGGGGGCTCCTGCTCTGGGAGCTGCCCCCAGCAGAGCAGAGGCAGGGCTCTGGCAGCAACCCCCTTCCCTCACCCTCCAACCCCAGGAATCTCGAACTTGACCACGAAAATAATGACTCAATGACTCACTGTGCCAAATTAACGAGTGTGTACATTGTTCAGTATGCCAGGTTACATTTCTGCTGAGCTTGGCTTCTGTATGCTGTCTTTTATCCTTGTAAGCAGAAGTCATTTTATATCTTTAAAAAATTAGAACATTGGTAGAATTACAGATTTTAAAGTTCAAACCTGCACGCTAGTACTTGTTTAATGTTTTGTACTGAAGGGCGCACATTGTTTATGTCATTCTGCGATACAGCGACATGTATGTACACATACACACTGCACAGCGTGTATACCGACTGGACACCTGCACCAAATAGTACACACCAGACTGCACATGGACCCGCCCCGCACACTGCACATGCACTTTGCATGCATGCACACATCAAACCACAGACACTCCACACACACTGCACTGCACACTGCCCTGAGCACACTACACTGTACTGCACACTGCACTGCACTTTCAGGGCTCACACGCTGCACCACGCACACTGCACGGCGCACACTGCACTGCATACACACGTTGGTTATGGAGGCTGCTTATGGAGCTTCCCTGTGCAGAGAAATGCTGGCTTGGGTTTTAAATGGGCTACAATTAACACTTTTAGAGCATTTGGGTTTTCAAAGTGTCTTCAGAGACTTGATTTTTTTAAAGCCTATATTAGGAGTTTTTAAACATCTGATGTAATAGCTTTTTTAAAAGGAATCTTGCTGAATTAAAAGTGAGTCTAATTACTCGGATTCTGAACTTGTTTTTCAACCACATAGAAGTATTTTTAATTGCTCTCTCTTTTTTTCCCCTCTGGAACTCTGAAACAAGTTGTTCTTGAACTTCTGCCAGTTGCGGATGGGCCATTCCTTTCTTGCTCACATGTTGAGCCGCCCGGCGGGGCGCCCTCACGCTGTGTTCTCTGCGGTGCACCGAGGCGCACCCGGCTGTCCTGTTGCGGGTCTCCTGGTCACCTGTGGGCCATAGGGAGAGACGCGCCCACACACTCTCGCCCGCGCCCAGGACAGCTGCGGGAGCCCCGGGCCGCTCTAACCCAATGCGTCTCCCGCAGGCTGAGATGCGGCTGCTCCTGCTCGTGCCGCTGCTGCTGGCTCCAGCGCCCGGGTCCTCGGTGAGTGCGGTCCTGCCCCGGCCCCCGGAGGAACCTGCAGGGGAGTCGGGGGCGGGGACGCGCGGGCCCGCAGGCAACGTCCCCAGGAAAGGGGCGATGTCAGGGAAGCTGGGCTGGGAGGAGGCGAGCCCGCACCGCTGAGCTCCCTCAGAAAGGGCTGGGCCCTTGAAGCCAGCTGGCCAGGGTTCCCAGAACTGCCCGCCCGGCTGCAGGGCGCAGTGTGTAGGAATGGCACCTTCCCAGGGCTTCCCTCCTTCAGAAGGTGGTGGGAGCACTCCATGAAGTCCCCGCCAATCCTGGCGGGTGCAGCCAAGGTGCAGGGCTGGGTGGTCCATCCCACCAGACACCTGTCTTCTGCCTGGAGCCAAACACGGCTTCCCTAAGCTGGGGTGTTTTGGCCTAGAGGTTTGGGGTGCCAGTCGTTTCCATTCCCCTTGGGGTAGCACCTAGGGCAGGGCTGTCCTATGGAACCTTCTGAGATGGCAGAAATGTCCTGTTTCTCTGCTATCCAATAGGTAGCCCCTAGGTCCATTGAGCACTTGAAATGTGGGTGAGGTGAGTTTTAATTTTACTTGACTTTAATTAATTTAAATTTATTTTTAAAATTTTTAAGTATTTATTTATTTTTGAGACAGAGTCTCACTCTGTCACCCAGGCCGGAGTGTACTGGCATGATTTCGGCTCACTGTAACCTCCACCTCCTGGGTTCAAGTGATTCTTCTGCCTCAGCCTCCCAGGTAGCTGGGACTCCAGGTGTGTGCCACCACGCCTGGCCATAATTAATTTAAACAGCCGCATGCGGCTAGTGGCTACTGTATTGGACTGCGAATTAAGACAGTGGACCCAGGAAGCTGGCTGGTGGTCAGAGCTGCTGTTTCATTAACAGGGGCCCAAAGGCCAGGGCTCTCTGGAGAAGGTCCCTGGGTCTTGAGGATGTACAAGGAATCTTCTAGACCACAGGCCCCACCTTTGGGGAGGAGGGGGTCTGCAGAGCTGGGTGTTGCCCTGGCTCAGTGCCTGGCAGAATAGAAGCCACAGAGGCAGCTGGGCCCTGTCCTGCCCCAGGAGAAATCTCCCAGGGTGACCCACAGCCCTGCCCACCCCTCTGTGAGGCAGGCAGGAAGTGAAAGAGGAAGGATCCCTGCGAAAGGACCCAAACTGTTTTCTGCCATGGGGAGGTCGGGGGGGGGATGCCACGTCTGGCATCTGTGGGCGGAGGCTGAGCAGGACTCCTCTGCAGGGGTGTGTGGGGCAGGCAGGATGGATGGCAGTGGGCACTTCTCCCACTAGAAGTGGATCCCATAGATGACACTTCAAGAGCCCTGTGAACCCAACATGGGCCACAGCTGGAGCGGTGGGTGGGCTAGAGGCAGCCTTTTTCATGTCCTCTCGACCACCTGCCAGCTACCCACGGTCCCCTCTGCCACCCCATGAATCTTGCTTCCTAAATGCCACTCTCAGGTCCTTCACCACGTGCTGGTGGCCCAGCTGCATGAAGGCCAAAGCCCAGGTGGAGGGGGCACGAGGACAGCGTCCAGGCCCCAGGATTAAATCCCAGAGCCACCTGGACAGCTGCATGATCCTAGGCAAATAAGCCTTAGACTGCTCTAATTTGGGAGTAATAATGCCCACCCCAGAGGTTGTCATGCAGATGAAACAAATCAAGGTTTCCAAAGCGCCCTTGGTTCTCTTAAACCTTTTCTCCCTTAAGGCCACGCTGAGTAGCCTCATCCGGCTGCCACCTCCTCCCAGTGAGTCTCAGATGGGGCTGGGCGCAGCCTGGGCTGAGAATTCTTCTCTCCCTGCCCTCTGTGAGTCTGCAGGGGGTGTGGCCCCGCTCACAGCTCCACTGCCTCCCTCTGTTGCTGGGGCAGGAACCACCCAGTCCGAGCACCTTCTCTGGATCACTTATGCTGTCAGCGGTCAGTCTGAACAGAATGAGTAAATGAATAAAGGTGGCGGCCTGCGTGTTCCTGGGCCTCAGCCTCTGCTCCCGTCTGCACACGGGTGTGCATGTGTTCTGTCTCTCTCTTACACACGTGCACATTGGGCAGTTGATTCCCCTGGAAACAGTGCAGCAGGAAAGGGGACCCCTGAGTGGCTCCAGGTGGGAGTTGAAGGAGGCATGGGTGGGGCGCCTAGCGCAGCATGAGACAGGTGAGGGCAGGCCCCAGGTGAGGCTGGCTGTATCAGCTCATTCCGGCTTCACGCCATGTCGGGCAGTTCACGGTTTGGGTAATTACAGAGCAAGAGTGTGCTCATGCTGCCTGTGGCTGAAGGTGCTTTCCTTCCTTGGAGAGACAGTGTGGAGTGTGTGGACAGAGCACGGCTCTAGGATGGGACGGACTAGGGCTCCTGGCTAGTGGACACCTGCCTTACAGGTGCTGGGCACAGGAGGCAAGAGGGCATTCTGGAAACAGCATGTCCCTTAGGGGGCCCTTGTTCAGGCCAGTCCTGCCCCTGCCTTATCCTGATGGCCAGGCTGTGGCTCCATGGCAGGGGTACCCCTTGGCCACACACCAGTACACCCAGCCCAGCTCCAGGGAAGGGTGGATTTTGCTGGCTGCTGTGCCAAGGAGCCAAGACAGACATCCAAACAGGCCTTAGTCAGAGGGTAATTGACAACCAGGCCCAACCCAGCAGCTAAGAAAGCAGCCACCCCTGAAGACCTCTCCTGAATACTTAAAATGTGGGATGAGGCTGTGTGTGGGGGGGGCGGGTGCCAGAATCCCAGCTGGGGCTGCAGGCTGTCTCTGGAAAGTCACCCTTCACGCTCAACACTCAGTGTCTTCCTTGTGAAATAGAAACTTGATCCAAGTAAATTTCAGTTTAACTTTCATTCAGAGAAAACTTTGATATTTTGGCTCAGTGGTTTCGAAAGCTTAGAGATTTTTGTCCAAGTTAGACTTGAAGGAGTAGATATTTTACAAAGTGAAAGCTAAGACCTCTCATCTGGCAAGCCCTTCCTTCTTGGTTGTGTGTGGTTCGGCAGGCTTAGCGTGGTTTGTGCGTGGTTTGTTCTGCTTCAGTGTTCTGGGTTTTGTTATAAGACAAGGATAACTAGATGTTTGGCACCAGGGATGTTAGAGATGAGTAAACGTCCTTCCTCACCTGAGATTCAGCGAAGCTGCTCAGGGGTCACCATGAAAGCAAGAGCCTGCTTTTCTTTTCTTTTTTTGAGATGGAGTCTCACTCTGTCGCCCAGGCTGGAGTGCAGTGATGCAATCTCGGCTCACTGCAACCTCCACCTCCCGGGTTCAAGCAATTCTCCTGCCTCAGCCTCCCGACTAGCTGGGATTACGGGCACCCGCCGCCACGCCTGGCTAATTTTTTGTAGTTTTAGTAGAGACGGGGTTTCGCCATGTTGGGTAGGCTGGTCTCGAACTCCTGACCTCAGGTGATCTGCCTGCCTTGGCCTCTCAAAGTGCTGGGATTACAGGCATGAGCCACCGTGCCCGGCTGCTTTTCTGTGTGACCATTGAGCTCTTTCTCTGAAAAGTGGGAATGGTATTTTTCCTTGAGTCTTAAGTGGTGATACCCTAAAAGAAAGTCCCCTTCCAGCAAATGTTTGCATGTACACCATATGCCTCCTGGGAAAATTGTGAAGTTACATCTAATCCCTGTCCAACCCTGTAGGGAATCATCTAGTGTCTCATTTGATTCCCCCAGGTGGGTGGGGGCACAGCCTCGGCAGGGGAGCAGAGGACTGCAGTGAGGCTGGCCGGCTACTGTGCCCACTTCTTCCCCTGTGGTTTCCTCTCTCTGCCTCACTTTTCTTATTCATGCAATGGGGTCTGTCGGGTTGTTGTGAGGATGAAATGAGATAATGTGTGTGTGGCATGTGGATTCCTGATGCCAGCTGCAAGGGGTCCAATCTTTCTGGTGGGAAAGTGTACCTGCTAGGATTATAATCCTGTGTAGAGTCCCAAATAACAGTTCTTCAATAAGACAGACATGATTCCTCTCTCATATAAACACCCAGGGGTCAGAAGTCTGGGGCTATTCTGTTGCACAAAATCCTCCAGGCTCTAGAGTCCCTCTATCTTTGCTTCACTGTTTGAAGCCTCTATTTCCAAGTTACCTCACAGTCTAAAAGGCTGCTCCAACTCCAGCCATCACATCTGCTTCCCAGACAGCCTGAAAGAGTACAGGAGGAAGGAGAAAAGGACAAAGGCTCACGCAGGCTCTCTCTTGAGGAGATTATTTGCGGCAGCTGCCCAACACTTGTATTTACATCTCACTGATGAGAACTAAGTGATGTAGCCACAGTTAGCTGCAGGCAGTCCAGGAAATGTATTTTTTTTTTAAATTTTGGGCAGCCAGGTACCCAGCTGAGTCAAGTTTTCAAGCATTCTCTCACAATGGGAGAAGGAGGGGATGAATATTGGGGTACTCCTGGGAGTCTCGGCCAGATTAGCAGGATCCCCCCACGTTGCTTCCCTTTATTTTCTTTTAGGCCCCCCTCCCCTACATCACGGTTAACCTACAAATGCCTGGACCCTCAAACTGCCCCTGGCTGTAGGGTCCCTCCCCTCCAGTGGCCCCTGAAACTCCAAACTCTTCCCAGCTGCTCCTGCTCCCGCCCTCCAGGCCTGGCTCTCAGCTCCTTATGAGGAAAGCAGGCTAATTCTGAAAAGGAATATGTTTTGGGGTGCCCGGCAGTGTTGCTGAGTCCTAAAGGTGGGCCCTGGAAGGGAGAATCCCAGACTCCTTGATGGGTAGGGGAGGGTTTTAGGCAGAGCATCTTTGGAGGGGCCTCTGGGCTCAGGCTGTGAGTGGGCAATGCTGATGCATGGTCCTGTCTTCTGCAGGCTCCCAAGGTGAGGCGGCAGAGTGACACCTGGGGACCCTGGAGCCAGTGGAGCCCCTGCAGCCGGACCTGTGGAGGGGGTGTCAGCTTCCGGGAGCGCCCCTGCTACTCCCAGAGGTAGGAGAGATGAAAATGGGCCAGCTTGTTAAAGCAGGAGCAGGGGATGCTGCCTTCTGGGTGGTGGGCTAGGTGGTCGTGGCCTAGGCTAGCACTGGCCACATCAGCAGAACCCACCAAGGAGCAGATTCATTCTGGAAGCAGCATCAGTTCAGCGCAGGAAATCAAACCATTTCCCAGGGCCTTCCACTCTGAGCTGGAGCACGCGTGCTGCCTGTTGCCCCTGGTCTCCAGCTCCTGATGCTGCACCGGCCTGCAGTATGGCAGGTGCAGTCAATTTTGCTGGAACTGGTAAATAATCTTCAACCGGCAGTTCCCAATTCCTGTGGTTTCTTTACCGAGTACAGATGTTCCCCACTTCAAGCGATTTATTAAATGCTTGCTGTGTGTGCTGCACTCCGGCAGGGTCAGTGGAGAAGGTGGGGCACAGAAGGAGTAGTGAGGTGCCTCTGTCCCGGTTTGTATAGGGGTTGTTCCTGAGAACCCTATGTGAGGAGGAATGAGAGACCAGGAATGATCCTAAGAGCCTTATACTGATGTCCTGCTTAGATCGCAGGATGGCTGTGCCAAGCGGGTGGGTATTATATCTCATGCACCTCGGGTCTTCTCTGGGAATCTGCCTAAGATGCAGTGGAGTGGTCCCGCCTTAAATCCAAACTATAGGGTGGGTAGGGCTCTGAGTCCCGCTTCTCTGGAGTACCAACATGGGTCGCTCACTCCCACCTGGGGGATTTACGGGGTGGGGTCGGGGGACACCCTCTCACCTTGCTGCTCCCACTGGAGAGTCCCGCAGAAGTTGGGGCCTGCAGAGAGCCCCAGAACGGGGGCAGGGACGTTGGGTCTCGGTCAGGTCTTCCCGGTGCTCTGGTCCCGCAGGAGAGATGGAGGCTCCAGCTGCGTGGGCCCCGCCCGGAGCCACCGCTCTTGTCGCACGGAGGTAAAGCTCACGGGGCGCGGGCGAAGGCACCAGCTTCCCCAGCCCCTCCTGGCCGATTTCCCCATTGGGATGCCCGCTCCTGGCCGCGGGCTGCTGGGTTGGCCCAGCCTGGGGTCCTCCCGCCAATCCACAGCAGGGCTGCGTGGGGGCCCCTTCCTCACCCTGCTCCCGGGGACTGGCCTTGCCCTCCACAGCCTAGAGCACCATGGAGGGGCACGCACAGGAGTTCGGGGGTCCGGGGGGCGGACTCCACCTCCGGCGGCTCCGATGGGGCAGGCAAGGGAGACTCCTGGGCTCCCTGGGCTCGGGCGGGGCGGGAGGTGGGCGGACCTCGGACTCCGCCCTCCTGGATCCCGACTTCCCCTCCGCCCCGCAGAGCTGCCCCGACGGCGCCCGGGACTTCCGGGCCGAGCAGTGCGCGGAGTTCGACGGAGCGGAGTTCCAGGGGCGGCGGTATCGGTGGCTGCCCTACTACAGCGGTGAGCGCGGCCGGGACTCGCTCTCTCGGGGCCTCTTGTATACCTACGTTGATGCCACAGTTCCTATTGCCGTATTATAGAGGCGTTGTCATATATATATATATTAGAGACAGTCTCACTGTGTTGCCCAGGCTGGTCTTGAACTCCTGGGCTCAAGGGATCCGCCGGCAGCGACCTCCCAGAGTGCTGGGATTGCAGGCGTGAGCCACTGTACCCGACCAATTTTTTTTTTTTTTTTTTTTTTTTTTTTTGGGTGGGCGCGGGGGCTCGCAATGTACAGGAAATCTTGTAGACCACAGGACCCACCTTTGGGGAGGAGAGGGTCTGCAGAGGTCCCTCGAGAGAGAGCAAGAGGTCTCTCTTTTTCTTTATCTTTTTTTCTTTTCTTTCTCTCTCGTTCTCTCTCGCTTGCTCTTTTTTCTCTCTTCCTTTCCTTTCCTTTTTTTCTTTTCCTTTTTCTTTCTTTCTTTTTTTTTTTTTTTTGAGACAGGATCTTGCCCAGGCTTGAGTGCAGCAGTGTCATGTCAGCTGGGCAGCATGTACCTCCCAAGCTCAATCAATCCTTCCACCTCAGCCTCCCAAATAATTTTTAAAGTAAATATGGAATGCTTCATGAATTTGCATGCCATACCAGCTAAGGGGGCAGGGGCTGTGCTAATCTCTGTATCGTTCCAATTTTAGTATATGTGCTGCCAGAGCCAGCATTTGTCAAATACCCCATCGATCAACCCATAATGAATCAATCACCAGTACCCCTGCTCCCCCCAGCACATGCCCGTGGCAACACCATGGCAGCCATTTTGAGGTCTTTCCATCCTTTCTCCCCTTATGTATGTATATTTTCAAACGAAGCTATGGTGTGTCTATACCATTTTGAGCCCTGTTTTTGCTCAGTCTGCTATGGGAAGCGTTCCTCCCGTCGCACAGAGACGGAGATGGGGAACCCCGGGAGCGGTAGCAATGGTGCCCCACGGTCATCCTGCAGGAGGGGCTGGAAGGGGCTTGGTACACCAAGACTTCATTTATCAAGGATCTGGGGGCCAGAGGAGATGGTCTGTGCACCTCTGAGGAGGGTATAAGTCATTAATTTTTAGAGAAATACAGTTCAGGGAAAAAACACCCAGGTAAGCACCAACATGTATGTCATTAAGCATTTTAGATGAATCAGAAGATTCCTCAAGACAAGTCTTCTGAGTGTTCGTTTTCCCTGCTTGCGGCAAATGACCTCTGGAGACCCTGTGGCACTCTAGATTCCAGATCAAGGAGCACTTATATTCTCTCTGTGTGTGTGTGGTGGGGATCGTGGCTGTGGGCATGGCCCAGTGGGAGTCTCATATCCTGTGTATGTGTGTGTGTGTGTTGTGGGGATCGTGGCTGTGGGCATGGCGCAGTGGGAGTCTCATGTCCTCTGTGCGTGTGTGTGTGTGTTGTGCCGATCGTGGCAGTGGGTGTGGCCCAGTGGGAGTCTCTTATCCTGTGTGTGTGTGCGTGTGTGTGTGTGTGTGTTGTGGGGATCGTGGCTGTGGGCATGGCCCAGTGGGAGTCTCATGTCCTCTGTGCGTGTGTGTGTGTGTTGTGCCGATAGTGGCAGTGGGCGTGGCCCAGTGGGAGTCTCTTATCCCGTGTGTGTGTGTGTGTGTGTGTGTGTGTGTGTGTGTGTGTGTGGTGGCGATCGTGGCTGTGGGCGTGGCCCAGTGGGAGTCTCATATCCTCCGTGTGTGTGTGTGTGTGTGTGTGTGTGTGTGTGTGTGTGTGTGTGTTGTGGGGACCGTGGCTGTGGGCATGGCCCACTGGGAGTCTCATATCCTCTGTGTGTGTGTGTGTGTGTGTGTGTGTGTGTGTGTGTGTGTGTGTTGGGATTGTGGCTGTGGGTGTGGCCCAGTGGGAGTCTCATATCCTCT